>NW_018654710.1:0-140361 GCF_000001405.40 Homo sapiens
GATGGAGACCATCCTGGCTAACATGGTGAAACCTCATCTACTAAAAATACAAAAAATTAGCTGAGCATGGTGGCGGGTACCTGTAGTCCCAGCTACTCGGGAGGCTGAGGCAGGAGAATGGCGTGAACCCGGGAGGCGGAGCTTGCAGTGAGCCAAGATTGCACCACTGCACTCCAGCCTGGGCGACAGAGTGAGACTGTATCTCAAAAATAAATAAATAAATAAAACTAAAAATAAAAAATTAGTCAGGTGTGGTGGCATGTGCCTGTAGTCCCAGCTATTCAGGGGGCTAAGGCAAGAGGATCCCTTGAGCCCAGGAGTTCAAGGTCGTAGTAAGCTGTGATTGAACTACTGCGCTCCAGCCTGGGGGACAGAGTGAGACCCTGTCTCAAAATAAATAAATAAATAAAAATAATTTATATAATTTTTTTCCAGTTCTAAAAGTAATAAATACTTGTAGAAACTCTGGTAAATAGTGACAGATATGGAAAAGAAAATAAAAATCAGTCATGATCTCATAACTCAGTGAAAATAAATAGGTGTACTTTTATCCAATATTTAATTGGAATCAAAACTATATACACAGTTTGGGCACACTGTTTGTTTAAATGTATGCTCCAAAAAAATCAAATACCAGTAAATACTAACCTTGCCAAAAAAAAAAAAAAAAAAAAAAAACAGACAAAAAAAAATGTCCCAGGGAGTGCTGTGCCTACTTATACCTTACAACCTGACACAAGACCCCACTCAATTGAACTTCTCTTCTATAGCCACCAAGGGACCTCCTTGTTACACAGCCATTAGTGTTTCCCAAAGTCCTTAAATTCCTTGTGCTGTTAACCAGCCCCTCCTTAAAAGTTTCCTCCCAGGGTTTTGTGGGTACCACATTCACTGAAGTTTTCTTCTCATTTCTACCCACTTAGTCTCCATCTTCTTCCTTCCCTTCCTGGTCAAATAGGGGTGTTGTCTGAGCTCTCTTCTCTGGCTAGAGCTACATGATGTTCTCCTTAAATCAAGTTATCCACACGTGCAACTCCAATAACTTCTTCTATATTCACGCTGTTCAAATTTCTACCTTCAGTCTCAATCTCAGAATTGACTTCTGGTCCTATGTTCCCAGCTATTTGTAAGACATTTCTACCTGGCTTACTAAGCTCCATTTGTCTAAAATTACACTCAGTTATTTATTCAGTAAGTATTTGCTGAGTGCCTACTATGGGGGGGACACTGTTCTGGGCACCAGGGAAACCCTTCGACGAAGCTCCCATTGACAACAAGGTTCAACTCTTTAACCTGACATTCTAGGCCTTTCACAATCTTGGGCTAGTTTGCCATTCCAACTTTCTACTTCAATTCACACACTCTTTACCTCCAAACTGAATGCTATTGCTTTTCCAGTTATTTCAGGAAAGGCTTGCAGTTATCTCTGAAATACCCTCTTCCCACCTCAACCTACTGAAATTCTATTCTTCAAGGCCCAGCTCAAATGCCACCTCTTCCGCAAGCTTTTTTGGGTCCCTGATCCTAAAATGGTCTGTTCTTTCTTTAAACTGCCACTGAATATCTTTGGTACCTCCCCCACAACATATACTATATGCTGCATGTTCCTTCTCAAATGACGATGACAATAATTACAGGTTATCAAAAGCCTATTTTGTGCCAGGTATGTCGCTTGGTATTTCATATCTCTAAGCCCCAAAATGTACAATGTGAGTACTATTACCCTCATTTTACGAATGAGGAAGCTCAATGATATCAAGTAACTTACCTGATATCAAGTAACACGCCTACCTACTGGACTTAGAGGAACTTGAAAGCAGCAATTCTGCCCTCTTCCATTTGTGTAACTCTCACTGGGCCTAGAACTGTGGTTAGTACACAGTGGGTACTCAGTAAGCATTTGCCAAATGAATAACTGAATAAACAGTATATTTTCAAGCCACTGACATCTGTAAGTATATATACCACTCTAGTTTCCTGGCAAAATTATATTTGAATTCCTTATAGGCTCATTTCAGTAAAATTTGACATACTTTCCGAAACGTTATGTTGACTCAAGCTTTTACATTTTTTTCTTGGTAGAAAAGTCTTCCTAACTATTAAAACCTGGGTTTAAAAAATAATATGGCAAAGATCAGGTAGCAAAAACCTCACTCAGACCTTTTATAGAAACCAAAGCACCTATGCATTACTTAGGAATTGTCCTGTGAACCACTACACTATCAGCAACTTGGCTGGGTTCATTTTCCAATGACTTAGAGCTCAAGCTCTTTACAACACCAGTAATGAGATGTTCCCTTTGAAGTAGTCCCAACAATCCATTTAAAGCATTTTTCAGTACATCTCTGCACATGTTTATTGTTTGCCACCTGCAAAATCATTGAGACATTTGCTGCCTCAGAAACCTAACTAAATATAAGCATGGCACTTTAAATCTCAGATTGCTTTGCGACTGAAGGCAGCAGTGTTACTGCACCTTTATGTGAAATTGGAAAACCAAAATGGCCCATTTTCATAAAACCACCAGAGATCCAATATGTCTTGCTCTTAGAAACAAAGCAGGAAGACACAAACTTCAGTTACGAAATGTCTAAAAATGCAGACTTGATGTTTTCCATCTCCCTTTGCCTCCATGGCAGAGAACACTGACTAGAAAACAAACAAAAGAACCACTTGAATTAGCTTTATCTTGGGACTGAGAGGAAGAAGGCAAAAACTTCCATGATAAAAACTTTATCAGCCTCCAACTGCAACAGGAGTCACAGGTGAGGTGCAAGTAGGTTCCATCAGGGCCAAGCCAGCTAGTGTGGCTGACTGCAACAGTGAATGTAACAAGGAAGTACAGTGAGACCAAATATGCAAGATACCCAGAAAGGGCTGGGGAAGTAGACTTAAAGATGTCATCAGTTTATATAACTATTTAGAATCTTCTACTTGAGCCTGAGTAATAGAGGCTGTGTTTCTAAATTCAATACAGGACTGTGTTTATCTAATTATCTCACAAAACTAAAACTGAGTTAATCTCAGGAAAAAATCACTTGGTTTTTACAGAAAATAATCATTTTTCACATGCATGGTTTAGAATAAAGTTTAAAGTGCTTGATAACAAATGGCCAATACATATATGAAAAAATGCTCAACATCACTAATGATCAGGGAAATGCAAACCAAAACCACAATGTGATACCACCTTACTCCTGCAAGAATGGCCATAATCAAAAAAAAAAAAAAAAAAACAAAATAGATGTTGGCGTGGATGTGGTGAAAAGGGAACACTTCTACACTGCTGGTGGGAATGTAAGATAGTACAGCCACCATGGAAAATAGTGTGGCGATTCCTTTAAGAACTAAAAGTAGAACTACCATTTGACCCAGCAATCCCACTACTAGGTATCTACCCAAAGGAAAAGAAGTCATTATACGAAAAAGACACTTGCACATGCATGTTTATCGTAGCACAATTTGCAGCTGCGAAAATGTGGAACCAACCCAAATGCTCATCAATCAACGAATAGAAAGAAACTGTGAGATATATATATCTATACATCATATAGATATATATGATGCACTACTACTCAGCCATAAAAAGGAATCAATTAATGGCATTTACAGCAACCTGGATGGGATTGGAGACTACTATTCTAAGTGAAGTAACTCAGGAATGAAAAACCAAACATCGTATGTTCTCACTCACAAATGGGAGCTAAGCTATGAGGATTCAAAGGCATAAGAATGAGAAAATAGACTTTGGGGACTTAGGGGGACAGGGTGGGGAGGGGGTGAGGAATAAAAGACTACAAATCGGGTTCAGTGTATACTGCCTGGGGGATGGTTGCACCAAAATCTCACAAGTCACCACTAAAGAACTTAGTAACTAAATACCTCCTGTTCCCCACAAACCTATGGAATAAAAAAAATTTTTAAGTGCTCTGATAAACTTTTTTTTTTTTTTTTTTTTTTTTTTTTTGAGACGGAGCTTCACTCTTGTTGCCCAGGCTAGAGTGCAATGGTGTGATCTCGGCTCACGGCAACCTCTGCCTCCTAGGTTCAAGTGACTCTCCTGCTCAGCCTCCTGAGTAACTGGGATTACAGGTGTCCGCCACCAGGCCTGGCTAATCTTTTGTATTTTTAGTAGAGATGGGGTTTCATCATATTGGCCAGGCTGGTCTCGAACTCTGATAAACTTCTTTATTTTATTTATTTATTGTTTTTGAGACGGAGTCTCGCTCTGTCGCCCAGGCTGGAGTCCAGTGGCACGATCTCAGCTCACTGCAAACTCTGCCTCCCGGGTTCACACCATTCTCCTGCCTCAGCCTCCCGAGTAGCTGGGACTACAGGTGCCCGCCACCACGCCCGGCTAATTTTTTTGTATTTTTTAGTAGAGACGGGGTTTCACCGTGTTAGCCAGGATGGTTTCCATCTCCTGAGCTCATGATCCGCCTGCCTGATAAACTTCTTAATAAATACTTGTAGTAACCTCAAAAAAGAGAGGTGAGTAAAGTAATGGGACTATTTTAAAGATGATGAAAGAGAACCCATGATTCATTTATTGTCAATTGTAGTTCCCAAAGAAAAGAAAACGAAGTTCCTCAAATCCTTGTCTAATTACTGAGTACTTTGGGCCACCCAAGTTCAATTACCTTTTAAATCACCTTAAATCATACAGGGGCCCTGATGTTAGTAGAAGGACCATAAACAAGGAGTGAGTAGGCTGAATCCAACCCCTCAGCCACTCAGACTAAGTATTGAGTTTGTTCAGTGTGAGAGAAGTGTGGCAATGGGAAGAACATAAATTTATGACACCAGGAAAGGGTCATGTCCCCACACTGCCTTCTGAGCTAACTGACATCCAGCAAGTCAGGCTGACTCAGGGCCTCTGTGCCCTTCTTATCTGCAAATGGAAGTCCTGCCAATGCCTGCTCCCATCTACCTGAGAAAGCAGAGAAGCACAAATGTGGACAAAGTATGTGAAAGTTCTTTACAAACTCTAAAACAATTACTACTTCTATTAGAAGTTAGCTGATTTCTAATCACATAACCATTTATCCTCAACAAGCATTTATAGAGGACGGACCAAGTACCCAAACACTATGTGAGATATTAGACACAAAACACAGCTCCTGCTCTTGAAGAGCTAAATAGCTAGTGGAAAGTAAGACACAAAACCAAATATAAAAAGCACTTCAACAGAAGTATACAAAGGTGTTATACAAGCATAAATAAGGAATCATTACTAATTAAGGGACAATAAAGAATTTTAAGTAACAGAACACAATTAAATGACAATGATAGGTATACAGAGATTACTTCAGTCGAAAGAAATCAAAAACAAAGGAAACAAAAACATACAACAAAACCAATCATTCCTGCTCCAGCAATCATGCTGTGGGCCAGGCATGGTGGCTCATGCCTATAATCCCAGCACTTTGGGAGGTCGAGGCAGGCAGATCACGAGGTCAGGAGTTTGAGATCAGCCTGGCCAACATAGCGAAACCCCATCTCTACTAAAAATATAAAAATTAGCCAGGCATGGTGGCGCGTGCCTGTAGTCCCAGTTACTGAGGAGGCTGAGGCAGGAGAATTGCTTAAACCCAGGAGGCGGAGGTTGTGGTGAGCCGAGATCACACCACTGCACTCCCGCCTGGGCAACAGAGCAAGACTCCATCTCAAAAAGAAAAAAAAAAAAAGAAATCATGCTGCTTCTTGCATGAAGCTGTCAGCCTACAATAACAGCCTCAAAGGTTCCACCAGAGAGTGAGCACTATGTGAACTAACAACCACACATGGAAGGCAAGAATGCAAAGGCCTTCTTCACAAGCTGTTCAAGTCTTTCTGACCCACAGACACATTCCTGTCCAACAGAAGGCCTTTGCTGGGTGGTGAGGATGTCATGGGAAATTAATAATTCCCTCACTTCCTGTTGACTTTAACTCTTTTGGTCATTGCAACTCACCAGCAGAAGGGAGAATACTTAAAACTTTAACCTTCAAAACAACAACCGGCTTATGGCTTAGCACACTCTCACAAACCAGTTTCTATGGGCATTCAGAGTAAATGTATGAGAGAAGTAATTAGTTGATTTATTTTCTGTCTCTGCTGAACTTGAACCTGCTAAAAAGTGAGCCTAGGTCTTTGTTAACTGGCATCCCGAGAGTATGAGACCAGTGATAAGATCTAAGCAAAAAGGTGACTCACCTCTTGTTTGAAAGGGCAGACATACTCAGCAGTGATGGGCTGCATCTATGACCTCTCCCTCCCTTTTGGACTTAATCTGTGACAACAACCTTGGCTACCAATCAGCCTCTTAACCAATTTAGTCAGGAAACAAGCAAGGCTGGCAAAGGCAGACAAAACACTGTCTCTGACCCTCAAAGATAAGCACAAGATAAGGCAAAATAACAGAATGAGTCTTTGTCATTTAACTATACACAAATTGAAGGACAGAAGAATCTCTGCCCATCACACAGGACAGAAGAAAAGCTTATAAGGTATGAAGGATAAGAATAGTAGGAACTGGCCGTGTGCAGTGGCTCATGCCTGTAATCCCAGCACTTTGGAGGCCGAGGCGGGCAGATCACCTGAGGTCAGGAGTTTGGGACCAGCCTGGCCAACATGGTGAAACCCCGTCTCTACTAAAAATACAAAAGTTAGCTGGCCGTGGTGGCAGGCGCCTGTAATCCTAGCTACTCGGGAGGCTGAGGCAGGAGAATCACTTGAACTTGGGAGGCAGAGGTTGCAGTGGGCTAAGATTGCGCCACTGCACTCTGGCCTGGGCCACAGAGTCAGACTCCATCTCAAAAAACAAAAAAGAGTAGTAAGAACTATGTTTTCATCCCCCTAATCTGGGTTTACATTAAAACAGTTTCTGAATTTCTTTTATTATGGACTATTACCATTAGCATGGCATAGATTTTTATCAAACAATGCCTGAACATTCTGGAGTTGAATTCTGGGGCTCTGACTGATCCATACTTCTCGGATTGTTTTGCTCTGACATTAGGATGATAGGCATATGATAGCTGGGACTCAAATAGTTGAATCAGGCACTGCTACGGCTATGCTAATCTCTTTAAACATGTCCTGCAGAGGACACCTTCAATGTGGATGGACACATTTTAAAGGTAGAATGATATATTTGATAAAATGTTTAAAAACAAAATATAGTTCTTATAAGTTCTAATCTAAGACCAAGATTAAAAAGTTATAGCTAATATTTATTGCATACTTACTAAAGTACTTACTACTTAACGTATGTTAAGCCTTTTACTGCATTATGTTGTTAAATCCTCACAACCACCCTATTAGAGAGCTGCTATTATTACTACTTTACAGACAAGGAAACTGAGATTTAAAAAGATGAAGTTACTTATCTAGGGAAATATGGTCAGTGAGTAGAAACAAGACTCTAAGATACACACACAGCCCCATAAGACAATTCAAAGCAAATTAATTACCCTGGGATAATATGGCTAAAATTTTAGTACATGAACATGGTGCTTCAAATTTTAGTGTCAAACACCAGCAACTTTATTATTTATTTCAAAATCTGTTTGTTAATCCCATGACCCAGAGAGTTAATTGCTAAATATCATATTTACACCCAGGGAAGTAGTTTATAGTTAATTTACAAAAAAAAATCACCTCTATAATACTTCTGTGTTATTATTATAAGTTCTCTACGGGAATGGTAGAAGACAGGTTCCTGAACAAACACAGTAAAAAGTTGTTCTCTAACTAAATAGCTAACCTCAATTGTCTTAGTGACCTTGGACACATTACTTGGAATGTTTGCAAGAGTATAATAACTGTGACTTCATTTAGGTGAAACAAGTGCTTCTGCAAATGTTTACATAGTCCTAATTGCCCAAGCCTTTTACTAGTGTTTCCCTGCAACATCATTTTTTATTTAGCCAATAAATAGAAACACTTGTAAAAATGTTTACTTAAAACAACCTGCAAACAAATGTTTCTGTCAAAAGAATTAAAAGAAATATTTCAAATTAGATGTTACAATCGATAATTCAAACATATTTTGATGATTAAGGCATATTGAAATAAATCGCTGGCCAGGCACGGTGGCTCATGCCCGTAATCCCAGCACTTTGGGAGGCCGAGGCAGGTGGATCACCTGAGGTGAGGAGTTCGAGACCAGCCTGGCCAAAATGGAGAAACCCTGTCTCTATTAAAAATACAAAAATTAGCTGGTTGTGGTGGTGGGTGCCTGTAATCGCAGCTACTCGGGAGGCTGAGGCAGGAGAATCTCTTGAAACCAGGAGGCAGAGGTTGCAGTGAGCCGAGATTGCACCATTGCACTCCAGCCTGGGCGACAGAGAGAGACTCCATCTCAAATAAATAAATACATAAATAAATAAAATAAACTGCCTCCTTCTAAAACTAACTTGACTTTTGTTGGGGGGACGGGCAAATATCAATGTATGTAGGGTTCAAACAAAATAACAAAATTGAGCCACAACCTTCAGTCTTGTTTCTATAATCTACTAAAAGATGATATGCTGGCTAGGTGTGGTGGTTCACACCTATAATCCCAGCACTTTGGGGGGAGATGGTGGCAGGTGGATCTCCTGAGCTCAGGAGTTTGAGATCAGCCTGGGGAACAGGGTGAAACCCTGTCTCTACCCAAAATACAAAACACTAGCCAGTCATGGTGGCGCATGGCTGTGGTCCCAGCTACTCAGGAGGCTGAGGTGGGAGAACTGCTGGAGCCTTGGGAGGCAGAGATTGCAGTGAGCCGAGACCGAGCCACTGTACTCCAACCTGGGTGACAGAGTGAGACTTTGTCTCAAAAAAAAAAAAAAAAAAAATACACACACACACACACACACACACACCCTGGTTTCATATTACCATACTACCATGAAAATACAGAGACCATAGCTAACCTTTCAGCGTGAGGCAACCACTTTTGAACCACAATATTTGGAATTAGCCAATCCGGGTCTCAATTTTCTATGTATCATTATGAGAAGTGTGATTTTTGACAAGCAACTTGAATCTGAATTTCAGTTACTCCGTATCCATGGGGGACTGGTTCCAGGATCCCCTCAGATACTAAAATCCACAGATGCTCAAGTCCCTCATATAAAATTATGCAATATTTGCATATAACCTACGCACATCCTCCTGTAAGTCATCTCTAGGTTACTTACAATATCTATTACAGTGCCTACACATCCTCTCATTTGGTGGAGTCAATGTAGTATTCAGCATTTAGCAAACTCAAGTTTTGCCTTTTGGAACTCTGTGGAATTTTTTTTTCCTAATATTTTTGATCCATGGTTGGTTGAATCTGCTGATGTGGATCCCACAGATGTAGAGGGCCAACTGTAATTGTCTGTGATGTGAGGAAAATAAGGATAACTGTCTCACCTTTTTTGGAGTGCAAATCAAATAACATAATGTAGTGTTTTATGAACTCCAAAGCAGTGTACAGGATGCCCACTGGTGTCTGATACCAACAAAAAGGTCACCACATTCTCTTTGATCTCCATTATAAACCAACGAACTGGTGGAGGGAGTGGCGACAGAGTTTAGGAAGCTTTGAAATAAGGTTTTAATCTACTCAAGGTTCCTCCAGCATTTTCAAGGCAGTAAGAGTTTGCTGTGCATCAGCTTTTCTGGTGGTCTTGGAAAGGAGGGATTCAGTGGCGCAAGTGTTGCATAAAAATTCAAACGGAATATCTCTTCTCAAAAAAGTAAAAAATGAATAAAATCCATCTTTGCCACCCAAGTTCCCCCACAGCTAGGATACTTTCCCCTTCCTCTCTTTTTTCTTGTAAGTTTCTTGAAGAAACTTGTTCTTTATGCTTTCTGACTCCATTTCTCATTGCCCATTCATTCTCCCCTCAAGAAGCAGTCTGATTCTGCCCCAGCTGAAACTTCACAGGAAAAGGTCACCAGTGATTTTCTTTTTGCTAAACCCTAAAGACTTTTCACTCAGCATCTGACCTAACCACACAGCAGTATTTGACCTACTGAACACCCACTCTTTCCACTGCTCTCATGAATTCACAGATGCTCTCTCCTGGTATTTCTCCTTCAACTCTGGAGGCTCCTCCCACTACCCTCTATGGGTTCCCCTTCCTATGCCCATATCGTAAATGTGGGTATTCCTGTTTTGCCCATAACCCTCTTATCTAGTTTCTCTTCTGCCCTCCCCAAGTGATCTTCTCCATCCTGTGGCTTTAGCTGCAATCCACGTGGCAGACAAGAAACATATTACTCTCCGGCTGGGCGCAGTGGTTCACGCCTGTAATCCCAGCACTTTGGGAGGCCAAGGCGGGTGGATCACAAGGTCAAGAGATCGAGACAATCCTGGCCAACATGGTGAAACCCCATCTCTACCAAAAATACAAAAATTAGCTGGGAGTAGTGGCATGTGCCTGTAGTCCCAGCTACTCCAGAGGCTGAGGCAGGAGAATTGTTTGAACCTGGGAGGCGGAAGTTGCAGTGAGCCAAGATCATGCCACTGAACTCTGACCTGGCAACAGAGCAAGACTCTGTCTCAAAAAAAAAAAAAGAAAAGAAAAGAAAAAAAAAAAAAGAAACATACTACTCTCAAGCTCTATATCTGCATATGCGACAGAGAACTCATCTTGCCTCAAACCTGCCCCTCCTCCCAACATTCACCATAGAGTAAAGGACATATCCTCTGTCCCCAAAAAATAAACATCATTCTTGATCCTTCTGGCTCCCTCACCTGCAATCACTCCAAATTAGCCAGTCATATGAATTCTCATCTACAGCATTGGCCACATCTATCCATTTCTCTGTCTCCGTTGCCTTCATGCAATCACCACCATCCAGTCTTCTTCCTTTCAGTCTTACCCTCCTCTAATCCATTCACCACACTGCAACCAAAATGTTCTTTCCAAAATTAAAACCTATTGCCATTTGGATAAACTACACACATCTTAACATTACCTGAAAGAGTTTATGGCCACTTACCTTCTTGGCCTTATCTCTTTAATCTCTCTCTCTACCCCTACCCTCACCCCACACCCACTCCCACCTCAACCCCACTCTATATCTACATATAAAGAATTTATAGAGGCCAGGAGCAGTAGCTGATGCCTGTAATCCCAGCACTTTGAGCTGTGATTGTGCCACTGCATCTCACAAAAAAAAAAAAGAAAGGATTTATAGAAACTGGGACCAGGTGTGGTGGCTCACACCTGTAATCCCAGCACTTTGGGAGGTCAAGATGGGAGGACTGCTGGAGGCTAGGGGTTCAAGACCATCCTGAGCAACATAGTGAGACCCCCATCTCTACAAAAAAAAAAAATTTAAAGTTAACCAGGCATGGGGGCGTGAACCTATAGTCCTAGCTATGCAGTAGGCTGAGGTAGGAGGATCGCTTGGGCTCAGGAGTTTGAGGCTGCAGTGAGCTATGATCACACCACTGCACTCCAGCCTGGGCAACAGAACAAGACCCTGTCTGAAAACAAAACCAAACCTGGAATTTTCCACTTGCTTTCTCACCTATCCTGTTTCCTCTGCCTGGAACACTGTTTTCCACCACCATCACCCTCATCTTCTTTATCAACACTGTCCCCTCCTTACCTCCCACCCACACACACAACCTGGCTAAGTCTAATTCAGCTGTCCAGTCCTTGACGAGGAATCACATCTCTCTTGACCTCCAGGTCCATTTTGAATGGCCTCTTATATGCTCCCATAGCACCCAGATTTCCTCCATTATTATGCATCTCAAGCTATTTTTTTAACTTTATAATTTTTTACCATTTGTATAAACCATATACATCTTAACATTATCTGAAAGAGCTCTTCACAAATTTGCATGTCATCCCTGCACAGAAGCCATGCTAATCTCTGTGTTGTTCCAGTTTTAATGTATGTGCTGCCAAAGTGAGCACGCAAGTTATTTTCAAATGGCCTGTTTACTGTCTGTCTCCCTCACTAGACTGTAAGCTTCATGAAGGCATGGACTGTGCCTGTCTTGTTCATTCCTAGCTCCAAGTACTGTGCCATGGCACAAAACAAGTGCTCAATCCTTACTTGCTGAATTAACAAATTAATGAATCCCTGAACGTGGAAGAGAAGTTGTTCTGGAAATGTTATAGTGCAGGTAAAAGTGGATCAAGAGCATGTAGGAGGAGATCATTCAGCTAATTTCCTGGAGCAAAAAATCTGCTAGTTATATTTCTGATGTTTCTAACCTGCAACACATGTTTTTTGTTCTGTGACTGAAAAATCAACATTTATATAATCACACCTACAGAACACAAGGTGAAGTGGATATTTAACAATTTCCCAGTTACGTAAGTATTCACAGGTAAACTGGCTAATGCGAGACAGAAGAGCTTTAGTTTGTACTGAATTATAAACTGGTTACACTAGTCAGGAGAACTGGATAAGTAAATCTCTACCATGGTCATAAATGTGGCATATAATTGAAGGATTCTATTTGAACCACATAACTCAGATTAACAATTAATGAGTGTACGAAAACAAACAAAATGTTAATGAAAACAGCATGCCTGACATCTTAATGCAATTGCCTCCATATTTTGACTTTGGTTTTTGCTCATAACTCATACTGTCATCAAGATTAATTACTTATGGAACAAATAAAACTTTTACCTTGTCAGCAGGAAGGCAAATTATGCATGTTTTTCAATGTCTGGTATGATCCCACAGTAGCCAATGAAACAGAGCAAACATAATGCATGGAATTTATTGCTGGTGGTCATTTTTATCACGCTCTCACTCAGCACTGAGTTCTCTGAATTAATTGGCTTGCATCAGAAACTCCAAGCTAGGATGTAGTTCAGTTCCTTATGAACCAAATGCCAAATGTACTCTGAAAGGAGAACGCAAGAAGAAAAAAAAACTCCTTGCTAGATATCCCTCCAGACTTTTTATTTTAAGGGGTTAACATTTGCTGAAGCAAATCAGCCTTTGGCCAGCAACCAATGGGGCCACAGACACTCTCTGTACTTTTCTAGGGGTGTTGGAGGAGAGGGTGAGGTGAAATAGGATAGGGTGACAATGGGAAAATAAAAGTAACAGCAGCAGTAGCTTGATGCTGCTGGAAACTGACTAGAGATAAAGAATCCTAAAAAAACTGCCCAGTCTAACCTTCTCCAAGTTCCCATTAAAGTCAGGCCTTTTGAAACTAGTAATTAAATTAGCACCTGTCTATCTGCCTACTTTTTAAATATGTAAATGAATGACTTCAAGTCTTAAGCAAAGGCTATATACAAGATTAAACTGTAATAGAGTATGTCAAGTATCTCATAAATATTCAGTAAATATCAGCCTTGGATGTTTTTTAATGAAGATGTTACTGGGCTAGAACCAGCTTGGTTTTCCTAATCAGGCACCATTTTTTTCTGTAAATGGTTACATATTCTTCACAGTTGTTTTCCACTAGTATAATTAACCTGGGTCCATAGCCCAAAACCTAAATCCATCAATCTATGAGAAAACAAATACTTTTAATGAACATTCAGCCATGTGCCTCCTTTTTCTATTACTTCTATATGACATTCAGCGATCCTTCTACCATGAAGCTTTCACTTATTACCCTACTGAGAAATAAGTTTCCAACTTTATTTTCAATCTTTTCAATTATAATTTGTTTTCTATATCTTGTTTTCTTTAAAAAATCACTTTCTGCCACATAATTACATTATTTATGGATTTTATTATCTCCAGTATTTGACTGTACAATGTTTTATAGTCATTGTATTCCCCACAATGTAGAGACTTAACAGCTTTTAAAATAATGTTTATTGACTTTTGTGATTATAAATAAGTACTACATGTTCATTGCTTGTCATTTTGAAAATACGAAAGAGAATAAAAGGCAAAATAAACAATGCCTATTCACCCTCCACTGGAAAAAAGCACTGCCCCGTTGTGGCCCTTTCAGCCCTTATGTAGATTTTGTTTTTTTAAACATAGTTCAGAGCTTACTATAGATACGCATTTTTCCCCACCTAGCAATCATTGGTAACACCTTTCCACACTGCTAAACTTCTTCATTAAAAAATCCTTTTTAGTGTCTATATAACACTGTATCTATTGATGACACCATAATTTGTTCCCATTTTGGGGCATTTAGGTTATTACATATGTTTTTTCCTAAATAAAGTTATATTGAGCATCTTTGAACATTAACTTTTAAAATATTTCTGATAAATTCCTTTGGATGGACCCTAGAAGTGGAATTAACTGGGTCAAAAGGTAGGAGCATCATTGAGGCTTTTCATACATTCACCAATGAGCTGTTCGGAAAGGTTACAGCAAGTGTGCATCCCTCCTAGCATTTGCAAGTGTCTGCTGCACTGCACACTAACTGTTGAGGAGGATTTTTGAAAATTTATGTTAATTTGAGATTTGGAAAAAATGATACTTTGCTATTGTTTCAATTTTTCTTTCTGTATTAGTTTTCTATGGTTGCATAACAAATTTCTACAAACTTAAGTAGCTTAAAACAACACCTATTCATTTTCTCACAGTTCTGAAGGTCAGAAGACTGGATGGGCTTGGCTGGGTTTTCTGCTCAGAGTCTCTCACACAAGGCTGAAACCAAGGTGGTGGCCAGGCTGGGCTCTTATCTATTAATAGAAACTCAGGTAAAGAATCCAGTTATAAGCTTATTGGGATTGTTGACAGAATCTAGTTCCTTGTGGCTTATGTCAGAGGTCCCCATTTCTTTCTATGCTGGTTGTTAGCTGGGGCCACCCTCAGCAACTCTAGGCCTCCAGCACTCCTCAAGGCTGCCCAAATTCCTTCTCAACAGTTCCTCTCCACCTTCGAAGCCGCAACACAGTATGTTGAGTCCTTCCCCTACTTTAAGTCTCTCCAATTTCCCAGACAGAGAAAGCTCCCAACTTGTATGGGCTCCTGTGATTAGATTAGACCCACCCAGAAAATCTCACCATTTTAAATTAAACTGTGCCACATAACATAATTGAGAAAGTGATATCTTATTATATGCACAGGTTTCACAGATTACAGACAGCAATTTTAGTAGAGAGACATTTTTAGAATTTTGCCTGCCACAGTCTTAGGTGTTGTTTCTTATCATTTGTTTGTGTTCTTTATAATTAAACCTCAATTACACAAATCTACTAAAAAAATGAATCTTACTGTTGACTGCCAGAAGCTGTATTTCCATAATGGCAAAGGCAACTAACTATGAATGGGGCTGCAGCATGCTAATAAAATTTTGAAAACATAACTTTGCTAACACTGGTATTTAAAAGTTTTAAATTGTGGTAAAATATATATAATATGAAATTTACCATATTAACCTTTTTTTTTTTTATGACATGGTCTTGCTCTGTTGCCCAGGCTGGTGTGCGTGGCGTAATCATACCTCACTTAACTTCCAACTCTTGGGTTCAAGCAATGCCCCCGCCTCAGCCTCCCAAAGCACTGGAATTACAGGCCTGAGCCATCATATCCAGCCCCATCTTAACTATTTTTAAGTGTACAGTTCAGTATTGTTAAGTACATTCACATTGTTGTGCAGCCAATCTCCAGAACTCTTTTCATTTTGCAAAACTGAAACTCTATACCCATTAAACCAGGAGTCCCCAACCCCCATGTCTGTAGACTAGTACGGGTCCATGGCCTGTTAGGAACTGGGCCACACAACAGTGAGCGATGGACCAGCCACGCATTGCTGTTTGAGCTCCGCCTCCTGTCAGATCGGCAGCAGCATTAGATTCTCATAGGAGCGCAAACCTTATTGTGAACTGTGCGTGCGAGGGATCTAGGTTGCACGCTCCTTATGAGAATCTAACTAATGCCTAATGATCTGAGGTGGAACAGTTTCATCCCGTAACTATCACCCCCCTACTCCCCGACCCCACACCACCCGCTCTGTGGAAAAATGGTCTTCCGGTCCCTGGTGCCAAAAACCACCAGGGGACCGCAGCATTAAACAACAAATCCCCATTGCCTGCCTCCCTCCAGGCCCTGGTAATCACCATTCCACTTTCAACACTGGCATATTTTTATTTTATATATTTATTAACAAACATGTATATAGCAATTACTATATGCCAGGTACGGTTCTAAGCCTTGAGCTCAGGAGTTCAAGACCAGCCTGGGCAACATGGCGAAACCCTGTCTCTACCAAATGTACAAAAATTAGCCAGGCGTGGTGGCTTGTGCCTATGGTTCCAGCCACAAGGGAGGCTGAGGTGGAAGGATCGCTTGAGTCCAGGAAGTCGAGACTGCAGTGAGCCATGATCACGCCACTGTACTCCAGCCCGAATGACAGAGTAAGACCCTGTCTCAAAATAAAATAAAATAAAATAAAATAAAATAAAATAAAATAACAATAATAAAAACCCTAATGAGGTCAATACTATTATTATTCCCATTCTACAGATTAGGAAACAGAAGCGCTAAGTAAACTGCCCAAGATTACACAACTAGGAAGTGACCAAGCAGGAATTCAAACTGAAGTAGTCTGGCTTTATAGTTTTTGCTATAAACCATGACATTGTAAAAATATTCATTGTAAAGAAAAACTCATCAGGAATTAGTATCATTTCTTCTATGTATATCTATCTATTGTAGGTGCAATTTAACCTAATATTCATCTCCTGTCTAAAAGACTATGTGACCAAGGTTACAAATGTCTACTGATATTTTTAGAGACTAGATATATAGCCCAGCTTTTGTTAAGGCATTTTCTTGAAGTCAGTCAGTCAAAAACTGCCTTGTATTTTAAGTATGCCAATTATAATTTACATGTAGTATTTTATAATAAAATACTTTATAAATACAAATCACAACTCACTACGATTACTTAAAATATAGAGAAAAAAATTCAGCTGTTTCTCTCTGGTCCCTTCCAAGGAAGAAAAAAGAAGAGAGAAATAAACTTCTAAATAAGTTTACAACAGCATGGCTCAATCTCAGTTTAACCTGGTAAATTCAAATTTGTCTTGCTTTGCAAGGTATACATCCAGACCAGTCTCAATTTGTCATCCAAATATATATCTCAGTAGTAATTTATTTTTGTTTAAGGGATGAGTGTGAGATTTTCTTATCTTGATTTTTTAGCTTAATAATTCTTTCCTACAAGACCAAACCATGCTTGTCATCAGTCATGTGGTGTCATTTACTATACATTAAAAACGGACAGAGTCGACAGAAAGAACAATCGTTTTCTGGAAGCCCCAGCCTGATGTAGGTTAAAAGCTCTGCTGGGGTTTGGTTTTATAATCCCCAGGCGGGGATGGCAGGGATACTAATAACGCACTCAACAAGATCACCTACTATTTCAACTACTTTCTCCTCCTATTACATACCTGATTCACAAAAATAAGCAGACAATGCATCATGTAATCTCCCCTCACCCATTAGCCATTGCAGTGTGGTACAATCTCCAGCACGTAATAAAAACCTGAGCATGCAAGAAACAGCAAAATCACTGCTATCCCTGGGAGCTGCTCGGATATTTACAATGCAGTCGTCCCCACCCCATCCCCCAAACTGGCCGGCCAGGCAGCACAGAAGCAGACGGATGCTCACCTGGGCCCCGGCTGCTACTCTCCATTCACCTGCGGGGCCTTCAGTCCGCTCCTGGAGGGGCTTGACTCCCGCAGCCTGCCGCCCGCCTCACGGTGACAGCCCGCCCGGGCGCTGACCATCCCGGCCCGGCTCTGTTTACAAGCGGCTTCTCGCGGTCCCACTCTGAAATGCTTCCGCCGGCGGCCCGGGCAGCCAGAGCCGGACACACAAGGTTCCAGGCCGCGAGGACGAGTCTTTCCTGCCCGAGGGACCCGGCAGCTAGGCAAGGCCTGACCGCACCCGCCAGGCCTCCTTATTTCTTTGCTTTCTTATATACAGTTCCTCTTGTACACATTGTGAAAGCAATGGCGTGTGTCGTGGAGTCTCCTCACTGCTCCACCCAACGCCAAAATGGGTGTTTGCGATTGGAAAATGTCACTTAGAACATGTCAGGATCGGGCTGGTTTTTAGCAGCTCCCTTGTCTAAGGGAATTAATTACTCAAATAAGTTCTTTCCAAAAGTGGGACTATTCTGGAGATTGCTTCTCATTTCCGGTTTTGGGGCTGCAGTGAAAATCCGTTTTCACTGTCCTTTCCTACGCAGGTTGAAAAGGGGTGGTTTTGAGGTGAGGTCTTCACCCCCACTTGCGGATTCCCAGCAAAATAGGGTGTGCGTGTGTGTGCACGCGGGCAGGACTGCCTGGTAAGACCGCCCACATCCCACCTGCAGTGACTGTGGTCGCTTTGCAGGGATATGCTGGTCTGATTGGACAGACCTTCCTTGCAGTTTCCTGTCTGTTTTCCATCATAGCACACTTCTTAGCCATTTTCTCACTTTATAAGTACACACTTATTTATCAGTTTTATTGGTTTTCCCACGCTCACCCATCTCACCTATAAACTCCCTGAGGGCAGGCACTATTTCAGTTTCACTCACCACCATCTAGTAGGCACCTAGCACAGGCCCAATGTATATATATCTGAATAAATGAATGAACAAAGGAATGATAAAAAAAAAAAAAGGTCAAAGGGGTCAGGGATGAAACAGAAATCTAAAACTCTGATTCCTCTTCCCACCTTCCCACCCTCCAGAAGATTAATAAGCAAATCTTTAAGCTTTGAGTTAAGAAAAAATTTCCTTTGGTTGATATTCAAAGTTTAAATAAGCTTTCTTTAAACCCTGCAATTTGAGGTACTTTTTTTTCTGTTTTGCTAGAGACAGGATCTCACTCTGTGCCCCGGCCAGAGTGCAGTCGCACGATCATAGCTCACTGCAGCCCTGAACTCCTGGGTTCAAGGGATCCCCCCAACTCAGCCTCCTGAGTAGCTAGGACTACAGGCACGCATCACCACAACGTGGCTAACTTCTTTTTTCTTTCTTTCTCTTTTTTTTTTTTTTGTAAAGGCAAGGTCTCCCTGTGTTGCCCAGGATGATCCTGAACTCCTGGCCTCAGGCAATCCTTCTTCCTTGCCTTCCAAAGTGCTGGGATTACAGGTGTGAGCCACCTCACCTGGCCAGAGGTACATTTTTTGTTTTGTTTTGTTTTAATTACCAAAAGAGAATATTTGCAGTATTCTCTTTTGCCTCAGGACTTTGTACATGTGATTCCCTCTGATGAGAGTTCTCACTCCTGGCCCATCCTCTTACTTAGGCTGGCTAATTTCTCTTTGCTCTTTAAGAAGCAGGTAACAGGTGCTTGGTCTCTCAAGTCACTTGCTTGGTCTTCTTCCAAGTGTTCTTTTCTTCTTTTCCTTCCCTTCATTACTACTCTAAAGCTTTTTAATAAACTTTCACTCTAAAAAAAAAAAAAAAAAAGGCCGGGTGTGGTAGCTCGTGCCTGTAATCCACGCACTTAGGGAGGCCAAGGCGGGTGGATCGCTGGAGGCCAGCGGTTCGAGACCAGACTGACCAACATGATAAAACCTCATCTCTACTAAAAATACAAAAATTAGCAGAGCATGGCGGTGCACGCCTGTAATCCCAGCACTTTGGGAGGTCGAGGCGGGTGGATTGATTGAGGCCAGCAGTTCGAGACCAGCCTGGGCAACATAGTGAAACCCTGTCTCTACTAAAACGAAAATTAGCCAGGCATGGTGGCACACGACCTGTAATCCCAGCTACTTAGGAGGCTGAGGCACTAGAATCGTTTGGACTCAGGAGACGCAGGTTGCAGTGAGCTGATATTGAGCCAGTGCACTCCAGCCTGTGCAAAAGAGCGAGACGCTGTCTCAAAAAAAAAAAAAAAGCAGATGACATCACACCTCTTCTGGAAACCTTGCCTGATAGGGGAACCTGCTCCTTTTATGCACTCCTAGAGGATCTCATGTGTTCCTTTATAAATGTACCCATTACATTGTGCTACACAGATCAGTCTTCCATTGGATTGGTGGTTCTCAAAATTCACATGGAACAGAATCTTCTAGGATGGTGTTTCTCAAACTTTAACGGGTAAGAATTCTGTCAAAATGCAGAATCTGATACAGTAAGTCTGGGATGGGGCCTCTCCAACAGTCATGATCTCCTAAGTGATGCTGCATTTTGAGTGTCAAGGTTCTTGAATGCTGTTAAAAATGCAGATTCCTAGGCCGGGTGTGGTGGCTCATGCCTGTAATCCCAGTACTTTGGGAGGCTGAGGCGGCCGGATCACCTGAGGTCAGGAGTTTGAGACCAGCCTGGCCAACATGGCGAAACACTGTCTCTACGAAAAATACAAAAAATTACCCGGATGTGGTGGCTGGTGCCTGTAGTCCAAGCTACTTGGGAGGCTGAGGCAGGAGAATTGCTTGAACCCAGGAGGCAAAGGTTGCAGTGAGCCGAGATCATGCCATTGCACTCCAGCCTGGGCGACAGAGTGAGACTCCATCTCAAAAAAAAAAACAAAAACAAAAACAAAAAACAAAAAAACCCCCGCAGATTCCTGGATCACACATTCACAGATTTTTATTCTGAAGATCTACCTACATTAGGGTCCTGAATTCCATAATTTCTACAAGGTCCTCAGTGCTTCCCAAGTTGGTGATCCATGGACCATCCTTTGAGAAAAACTCTTTCAGACTAGTCTTGAAGTCTGATGTCAGGAGTTTGTGATTTGTCATTGTTTTTCATGGATTAAGCATGAAGTCTGGGACATAAAATGCATTTAAAAAACTGCTTTTGGCCTGGCACAGTGGCTTACGCCTGAAATTCCAGCACTTTGGGAGGCCAAGGCAGGCGGATCCCTTGAGGACAGGAGTTCAAGACCAGCCTGGCCAACATGACAAAACTCTGTCTCTACTAAAAAATACAAAAATTAGCCGGGTGTCATGGCACACATCTGTAATCCCAGCTACTCGGAGGCTGAGGCAGAGAATCACTTGAACCTGGGAGGCGGAGGCTGCAGTGAGCTGAGATCATGCCACTGCACTCCAGCCTGGGAGATAGAGCAAGACTCCATCTCAAAAAAAAAAAAAAAACAAAAAAAGCTGTGTTTGCAAAATGACTGATTTTATTCACTCTCACTAATACAGATCCTCAGCACCAGAATTAAGGGGATGATCCCAGAAAAAGGCTGAAAGATTTAGGGCTGAGAATAATCTCAGCTAGGCAGCCACTGGCTCATGGACCTCTGTATGTCAGCTAGGAGCTCTATATGTCAGCTAGGCCTCTGTATGTCAGCTAGGAACATTTTGCCTCTCTAAATGTAAAATATTTAAGTTCATATCTCCATTCAAAAGGTTGTCTGCTAAAAGCAGCTCCATCATCTTCTTTTGCCTTTTTTTTCTTTTTTTGAGATGGAGTCTGGCTCTGTTGCCCAGGCTGGAGTACAGTGGCGCAATCTCGGCTCACTGCAACCTCCGCCTCCTGGGTTCAAGTGATTCTCCTGCCTCAGCCTCCTGAGTAGCTGGGACTACAAGCATTTGCCACCACACCCAGCTAATTTTTGTATTTTTAGTAGAGACGGGGTTTCACTATGTTGGCCAGGATGGTCTCCATCTCTTGACCTTGTGATCTGCCCGCCTTGGTCTCCCATAGTGCTGGAATTACAGGCGTGAGCCACCGCACCCGGCCTTCTTTTGTCTTTTAGAGCAATTTTGGATTCACAGGAAAATTGAGCAGAAAGTACAGACTTCCCATATATCCCCTGCTCCTCAAACCCACAACCTCTCCCACTATCAATCCTGCACCACAGTGGTACACTTATTACAATCAATGAAACTGCACTGACAGACACATCATTACCACCCATGTAATGTAAAGTTCATAGTTTACATTAGGGGAACCATTTTTTTGACTTCTTTATACCCTAACATTCAGGAAGGCCTCTCTTTCCATTATCGGAATGATTTTTAACACAGAATGGAGCGTCATGCTGTAGCTCAGTAATTAAGGTTTGCTGGGGGCAGTGGCTCACACCTGTAATCCCAACACTTTGGGAGACCAAGGCAGGAGGATCACTTGAGCCCAGGAATTAGAGACCAGCCTGAGCAACATAGCGAGACTCCATCTCTACAAAAAATAACAAATTAAAAAATTAGCCAGGTGTGGTGGCACAAGATTCCAGCTACTCAGGAGGCTGATGCAGGAGGATCACTTGAGCCCAGGAGTTGGACACTGCAGTGAGCTATGATCATACCACTGCACTCCAGCCTGAGCAACAGATTGAGATCTTGTCAAACAAACAAAACAAACAAACAAAAAACCCTAAAACTAGAATGAAACAAAACCTAGAAGACGATCTAGTCCAATTGTTAATCCCCAGCTGCTTTCTTACTCCAGCCTGAGCAACAGAGTGAGATCCTGTCTTAAAAAACAAAAACAAAAAAACACCCAAAACTAGAATGAAATGAAACCTAGAAGATTATCTAGTCCAATTATTAATCCACAGCCACTTTCTTACTCCAATACTTTTTTGTTTGTTTGTTTTTTTAGACGGAGTCTAGCCCTGTTGCCCAGGCTAGAGTGCATTCAGTGGCGTGATCTCAGCTCACTGCAACCTCTGCCTCCTGGGTTCAAGCTATTCTCCTGCTTCAGCTTCCCGAGTAGCTGGGATTACAGGCGCCTGCCACCATGCCCAGCTAATTTTTTGTATTTTTAGTAGAGACAGGGTTTCACCGTGTTGGCCAGGCTGGTCTCGAACTCCTGACCTCATGATCTGCCCCCCACTCTGCTTCCCAAAGTGCTGGGATTACAAGCGTGAGCCACCACGCCCGGCCTCCAATACTTTTAACGGCCTCCTATTGCCAGAAGGAGTTCAGACTTCATGGCTTGACCTTGAGGCTCTCTACATTATTGGCTCCCTCCTACATGTGGGGACATCTCTGTTTTTCTGCACTCAGCATTCCTACTTCCTTTGGGAACTTCCCCTACCTGTAAGACACAGGGTAAGTATGTGATCAATGCTAAGCCAGTTCTACTATTCACAGTACCCTAGTCTCTTGGCTATAGCAGTTGAGCCAGGGTGGGCATGTGACCCACCCAATCAGAGTCCTTCCCTGGAATTTTTATCTCTGAAGCTGTGGAAGGAGCCTTGCCTATTGGGATACAGGACTGGAAGGATGTGAATTGGAGGCCCCTGATGGCCATCTTTCCCACCATGTGAGAATGCCTGTCTGCAGAACAAGGGAAGGAGGGTGACAGGAGAGAGGAGAGTAACACCAAGGGAGGGATGAAGATTTTGTGTGAGGGGAGTTGGAAGGTGTGGTGGGAGAGTAAGAGCAAATGACCTTGCTTGAGTCCCAGGATCTCCTCAGGCTTGGAGCTTAACCTCACCTCCTAGACCCTATAGTTCTATTATCAATTAATCCCATGTTATCTCAAGGGAGTTTGTGTTGGTTTCTGACATTTACAACTGCAAGTGTCTTGACTGACACTTCACCTTTCCAGACTTATCTCCCACATACCCCTTTCTTCCCATTTTATAGTTCAGACACCTATTTTTTCCCAAAATCAAAGGTCTTTTATTGCATCATTTAAATATCACAAATAGGTCTTAGGAGTCTTCCAGCATCTTGTTTCTGTAGCTGGACAACTCTTAGATCTTCAGCCTGCTGAACTGTTCCTTTTTCAGAGACATAGGTACCATCCAAAATTTTTCTGATATCCTTGTTTTTAACTGTTGTGGCTTGCTGAATCGAAGCAGCTGAATTTGAAACAAGCTGAATGTTGTTTCCTTCAAGGATTAATTCATCTTTCTGGGCTTGAGATACCAAACAAGCAACACCTGACCTCCTCCAAACCCTGGGGATGTATTTTTCACCGAAGAAATTTCAGATTTCAATAAGAGACCCATTCTCCTGGATAACAACGTTGACGGGGAAGTGAGCAGACACAGACCTCATCTTGTAACAGAAGCCCAGTGTAACATCCTTGATCATGTTCTGTGTGTGACTATAAATAGTCTGAACGGTAGCCAGTTCCTTTTTGTTACCTCACTATTTGTCAACCCGGAGCCTCTTTCTTCCTAAGAAGGCTGAGTTCTACATTGATGTGACTGAAGTCCCTCCACAGGCCTCCTCTGGGGCCCTTCACGATAACTGTGCGTCCCTTCAGAGTGATGTCGACATTTTCTGGAATGTCAACAGTCTGGTTGCTGAGAATGGTCTTCATTCTTGCAGTAGATGTGGCAACAACAACAAGAAAGCCTGTTTTTTTTTTTTTAACCCACTCCTGGAAACTCTTCTTTTCCAACTTTAGGTTCCCCATTTTTAATTAATTAATTGATTTTTTTCCCAGCTTTATTGAGGTTAATTGACAAATACAAAATTTCCCCCATCATATCCCCTTCAGCATCCCTGGCAGGGCAGGCACCCTATCTTGTTCATCTTTGCATTTTCCTCCACAAGTATTATGGTACTTAGAAAATGATCTCAAAAAATGTTAAACATCATATGAGGAAGTGCCATTACTATATACTTTCATTAAGTATTTTCCTTTTAGCCTTCATTTACTAAAGTAATGCTCAAACCAGGATTCAAAAAAACAATGCTGTCTTCCAAGAAACAAAACAAAAACCTCATCAAAAGTGTTTTAAACTTAATCAGAACATTTTTAGTGCTATTTATAGCTTAAAATTTGCAAGCCAAGTATACCTCACCCATCTCCCAAAATAAGCCCAAGTAAAAATGATTAGGATATTTATTAAGACCAACATAGTGTAATTACTGTTCTTTGTCTCTTTAGGTAAATTAAAAGCATAGGGGATGTCAAATATTGAAGTCACAAATAGAGTTATTCCTTGAAAGTATAAATGAACCTGCTGTTCAGCTGGAAGGCACCCACAAGGACATACCTGCTGTTAAAATATTGAAACAGTTCCATATGGGTTGGTAACTAGCTTCAGTCTCTAAGCACTCTAAGTATCTTAAGGTCTCTTTACAAGAAACCTCCCACATCCTAAGATCCAGCACACAAAAGATTAATATCTGACCCTATTTTGCTGAAATGGTGGGTATTTCAGCCCATCTTTCATTAATGTAAGAGCAAAATGGCCCTGCTCTTACATTAGGGCCAAGATTCTTTTTTTTGGGTGGGGGGGAACGGAGTCTCACTCCGTTGCCCAGGCTGGATGCAGTGGCGCAATCTCGGCTCACTGCAACCTCCACCTCCTGGGTTCAAGCGATTCTCCTGCCTCAGCCTCCCAAATAGCTGGGATTAAAGGTGCATACCACCACACCCAGCTCATTTTTGTATTTTTAGTAGAGACGGGGTTTCACTGTGTTGGCCAGGCTGGTCTTGAACTCCTGACCTCAGGGGATCCACCTGCCTCAGCCTCCCAAAGTGCTGGGATTACAGGCGTGAACCACTGTGCGTGGCCTAGGATTCTTTTTGATTAGTTGATGGCCAGGCCATATATGTCTTTAACTCTTTTGACTATCACTTCTACAAATAAGTTAACAGAAAAAAAGCGAAAAGCCATTAGCAAAGCTAACTATTCAATGATTTCCCACCCCACCACCAACTACCAAGGCTTTTTAAACTAGAAAGATCAAGAATAAGTGATAGAATTTACAGAAGACGTTAATAGAGCAATTTGAATGTGGTCATTCAACAAGCATTTACTGGCTGGGTGCAGTGGCTCATGCCTGTAATCCCAGCACTTTGGGAGACTGAGGTGGGCAGATCACGAGGTCAAGAGATCGAGATCATCCTGGCCAACATAGTGGAACCCCATCTCTACTAAAAATACAAAAATTAGCTGGGCGTGGTGGCGCGCACCTGTAGTCCCAGCTGCTCAGGAGGCTGAGGCAGAAGAATCACTTAAACCTGGGAGGCAGGGGTTGCAGTGAGCTGAGATCATGCCACTGCACTCCAGCCTGGCAACAGAGTGAGACTCCATCTGGAAAACAAAACAAAACAAAACAGAAAAAACAAGCATTTACTAAGGAATTCACTGTCCTCTAGGTATGAGGTTCATTGACTCTTGGTGGCTTGTATAATGGTCAGTACTATCCAGAGGCCTCCATTAACAGCTTAAAGATGAGTGAAACTGCCTTTGTGGTTTCAATTATGACAGTAAAAGAAATCTGACATAGTTGACTCCATCCTGCTTCTGACCTTCAAACTATCTTTGGTCATTTCTGGCCATAGGCCAAGATAACCTTGGGAGGGATTTTGTTTATAGTTTAACTTGAAAGCAAGCATGATAATAGTCCCTCCCTAAAACTAGCCCCCTCCTTGCTCAGGGACAGAAACCCGCCTTTGTAAGACTAATGAAAGACCACAGAATAGGATTATGGAAGGGGCTTGAACTCTGGTAAAATGTAGATGTAGTTTCTATAATCCTTTACTGCCAGGAGTAATGTGGCCAGGAGGCCACAAGATCTGTGACTTCCCCACTTGCTCCTATAGATAACACCACTGTTGTAGAAACGAATACTGGGTTTGTAGTTGTTTCAGACTGACCTCACCTGGATTTGTGACTCATAACTCAACTGGTCATATGGCCCCACCTAGAGGCGCACTGAGTGCACCAGGAGCTTTTTCCACACGTTGATGATTTCATCCCCAACCAATCAGCAGCATCCATTCCCTAGCCTCCTGTCCACTAAATTGTCCATAAAAACCTTAGTCTTCCAGCCTTTGGGGAGATTGATTGGAGTGATAACTCCAGTTCCTCTGCATGAGTCAGCCTCATGTCAATTAAACTCTTTCCCTACTGCAATGCCACAGTCTTAGTATATTGATTTTATCTGTGCAGTGGGCAGGAAGAAGCCATTGGGTGATTACAAGAGAATCGTCCAGAAAGTTAAAATATTATAAAAGAAAAACTGTCTCAGTCTTGATGTGGCTTCAGCATAGTTTTTATGTAGAACCAAGAACAGTGGTGTGCTGGTAAACTGACTCTGAAAAAGTAAAAGTTCTGATTTGTTAGAGTTTGCCGATTTTCACAATATAAAAATCCCTACCATGCCTAATTTCAAGCTCTGGATGTATCATCACAGAACACAGAATTGGAAATGCACATATTAAAGCCTTAAGAATCAGTAGAAGCTGGCTCCAGCACACCACTGACCCAGATGGCCAGGATTTTATATTCCCACATCCCTTAGTCATTGGATATGGGCCACTCTAGGGCAAGGTGGCTCTATGAACTTGAGACAGTCCCTAAGAAGAATGGCCACTGATGGTAATCTGCTGACAGCACTCCCGGAAGCTGGAGCAACAAGTCCTTTTTTGATGGGGGATCTGGGCAGTACATCACAGAGTCCACCGTACTTGTTATGGGAAACCAGTCATCTGCCTACTCAACTGTCAATCTAGTCACTTTTCACCTAAAAATGTTTTTCAACCTGGAACATATACTCTGAGACCTTTCACTTTTAGATGGTAGAGCTAATAGATACAAATTTGGAAAGATTTCCAGCAGTCCCAAACAGTAAACATCCAGGGAGGGATGAAGGCAAAGGAACGTCCAGAAGTCCAGAAAATCAGATGGAGCTGCTCAGATAGGCTTCTATAAAGAGGGAGGGTTTGAGCTTGACCTAAAGGATAAGTAGAGGTAGAAAAGCAGAGGAGATTGAATAGAAGCAGCATTGCACTGTGGTTAGAATCTTGTCTCTACCGCTTTTTAATTTTCAGGGATTGCACAAACTACTTTACTTCTCTGTGCCTCAGTTTATCCATAGGTAAAATGGGGATGATGATGACATAATAATAGTAATAATATTATCTACCTCAAAGTGTTGTTGAAATGAGTTAATTCACATTGAGATTTTTTTTTTTTTTTTTTTTTTTTGAGACCGGGTCTCGTTCTGTAACCCAGGTTGGAGTGCAGTGGCGTGATCTCGGCTTACTGCAACCTCCGCCTCCCAGGTTTAAGTGATTCTCCTGCCTCAGCCTCCTGAGTAGCTGGGATTACAGGCACCCACCACCATGCCCGGCTAATTTTTTGTATTTTTAGTAGAGATGGAGTTTCACCATGTTGGCCAGGCTGGTCTCGAATTTGTGACCTCAAGTGATCCGCCCACCTCAGCCTCCCAAAGTGTTGGGACTACAGGTGAGAGCCACCGCAACCAGCCCATATTGAGAGTTAATAACAGTGCTTAGTAATATTTGGCCTCTGACAAACAATCTGTTATTTCATGCAGCAAAATGGAGATATCATATTGCAGAGTAGTGCAAAAAATAAAAATAACAAAAAAGAATATACTGAACTTTAATCAGAAATGATGACCTATTTTCCCTTCTTACAAAATGTCCTACCAAGAGTGAATCTTTGGGTTGAACTTCCCTGGTAGCAGGGCATGGTGGCTCACACCTGTAATCCCAGCACTTAGGATGGCAGAGGCAGGAGGATAGCTTGAGTCTCAGAGTT
The DNA here is from genome assembly GCF_000001405.40 of Homo sapiens. Classification (NCBI taxonomy): domain Eukaryota; kingdom Metazoa; phylum Chordata; class Mammalia; order Primates; family Hominidae; genus Homo; species Homo sapiens. The sequence continues at coordinate 28,314 of NW_018654710.1, forward strand.
TGAGATCTACCTGGGAAACATAGTGAGACCCCATTCTCCACAAAAAAATAAAAAAGGAAAAACAAAACAAACAAAAAAACCAAGTTGAACTGCCCTGGCAGCCAGAGTATAACAAAACTTTGACGTGTGCTCAAAACTAAACTGCCAGGAAAAATTCAAAGAGCGAAGTTTCACCTTGCCAGAACAGGTCCTTAATGGCAGGCACACCCCTGATAGTTACAAGGATTGGGGGAAGAAAACAAATGGGTGCCCTCAGATTCCCAGCCTAGGCCCTGTCCTGCACCACAAGGACCCACATGTGTATGCATACACCTCAGCGGCCATGTCCTAACTTCACCGACTGCTTCCCCAGATGAAGTCACTCCTCAGGCCTATGACGACATACTGACAGCTGGGTCAGCTCCCAGGATGACAAACCCTGGGAAAAAGGCCCATGCAGCCCGGAGGCAGGCTCTCAACTTTCAGGGCAGGGAATTCTGAAGCCCCATGTACCTGATCTAGAAGGAGGGGCCTCCAGGTTGCTACCTTCTAGGCCAAAGAGGCCAGAGGGGAGCCAGAGAACAGCTGATTGCCCAGGACTGATGGCAGTGCATGGAGGGTCTACTGGGGATCAACCCTTTTAATGCAATATTTTATCTTTTATATATGTGGGATTTTGATAAGGTACTTATGTCATAAGAGAGGCTTTGTTATACTAGAAAAAGCACTGGATTGAGAATCAGGACATTTGTGACTGGGTACGGTGGCTCATGCCTATAATCTCAACACTTTGGGAGGCCAAGCTAGGAGGATTGCTGAGGCCAGGAGTTCAAGACTGGCCTAGGCAATATAGCAAGACCCCATCTCTTTTTTTTTTTTTTTTTTTTTTTTGAGACCAAGTCTCACTCTGTTGTCCAGGCTGGAGTGCAGTGGTGTGATCTCTGCTCATTGCAACTTCCGCCTCCCGAATTCAAGTGATTCTCCTGCCTCAGCCTCTGGAGTAGATGGGATTACAGGCATATGCCACCAAGCCCAACTAATTTTTTGTATTTTTAGGAGAGACAGGGTTTCACCATGTTGGCCAGGTTGGTCTCGAGCTCCTGACCTCAAGTGATCCACCTGCCTCGGCCTCCCAAAGTGCTGGGATTACAGGCATGAACCACCCCGCCTGGCCCAGCAAGACCCCCATCTCTAAATAAAACATAAATAAATAAAAGAATCAGGACATCTGAATTAGAATCCTAGCCACAAAGTGTAGGATTAGGAATTATATTTACTACTCTTCACAATACCAAGCACAATGATGGTCTATAGGAAGATCTAATGAGCAATTTATATTTGTAATGTTGAAGACAATCAGGATTCAGAATTATACTTGGGTTTCAACAGTGATTTTTAAGGATTTGTTGTTATTTTGTTTTTTTGTTTTTCAGATAAAGGAATACTAGACATCAAAATGTTTATTAGGTGATGGACATATAGTCATCCTTCCAGTTTAAGATCTAAGAGCAATACTCAAACAGAAATCAAATAAATGTCTATGACAATTAAGGCAAACATACTCATTTGTCTACAAGCAAAGAGCATTTTGGAAAGAACACTCCCTTGTTCAAATTTTGGTGAACTGGTTGTGGAGACAAAAGTGACTCCATCTTGGATGCTAATCTGCCATGTTGACTTCTGATTAACCCCAGTCTGGGGAATGCCTCTAAGATTTCTATTTTTATCTATGTATACTGTCTGTAAATCCTGTTCTTAGGCCAAGACACCCTTGATGTTATCAAATCCTGCCCTTAGGCTATGACACACATAGCATTCTTCCCTTTTCCTGAGAGGTGGACTTCAATTGTCCTTATACATTCCTTCTAAAGCACATATACCCTTTCTCTGTGGTATATATCTGGGAGAAAACTGTGGAAATCTACCTGTCTGGCAGCTGCCCAAGACCATCCTTTTGTCCATAAGTTCCCCAGTAAATAACCCTCTACTGACAAACTGGATTTGTCTGCCTTGTTCTTTGGTTTCTTGGTTCCTTCTGCATTTGGGGGTTGGTTTGCGTATATGGCCCTTTCATGAAGCACACATCATGTCTTTTGTTTTTTTATTTTTAAGATACCAGGTCTTGCTCTGTTGCCCAGACTTGAGTGCAGTGGCGCAATCATAGCTCACTGCAGCCTTGAACTCCCACCTCAGCCTCCTGAATAGCTGGGACTACAGGATCAGGCCACTACACCTGGCTAATTTAAATTTGTCTTTCTCTTTTTTTACAAAGATAGGACGTTGCCCAGGCTAGTCTAAAACTCCTGGCCTTAAGTGACCCTCTTGCGTTAGCCTCCCAAAATGTTGGTACTATAGGCACGAGACACTGCACCTGGCCTGTTTTTTTGTTTTTTGTTTTTTTTTTATATCTTACCTAAGGTCCACTCCTATCTCTAACAGCCCCATCTCTTTTCTTTTCTTATGTGATCTAAAAATCTTCCCCCAACACTACACTGAGACCCAAATGAGCTTTTTTTTTTTTTTTGAGATGGAGTTTCACTCTTGTTGCTCAGGCCAAGATCATGCCACTGCACTCCAGCCTGGGTGACAGAGTGAGACCCTGTCTCAACAACAACAACAACAACTGCAGATCAAAGTTAAAGAAAGTAAGAACTAAATGGAGCATCTTTTTAGTTTTACCAAGTAGACTATTTCTTTGTCTAGGATGTCTTTCTAGAACCCAGAAACAGAAAATGGCTCTTTTATCCTGTTGGCTTCAATATAATCATTCTTCCTAGGAGGCATATGATGTGGGTGATGGGTGGGTATGTGGTGGGGAGAGGCCCTGTGATACTTAATGAGCTGCAAATAACTCACTCCCATGTATTTGTGTGAGTGGAGTCACCCTACCTACTTATGCTAGCCTGTTTTCACACTCAGTTGATTCAAAAACTGTTGAATCAGACCACTCTGGAGCTTCTGAAAAAGTCCTCCAGACAACGGTGGGCAAGAGCAGGTTGCAACCAGGTTCCATTTACGGCAGTGTTTCTGAATGTTGTTTTGTACATTTTTATTACAAAACAGTTCACGATCGAACTTATTCACACTTTCATGTTGGAGCACTCGATCCTTCCTAAATAAATTAATGTTGCCCCGTTTCCACATTCTGTGTCTGGGATATAACTTGTCTTCAAATATAAGTAAGCATTCTCATTATCAGAAAAAAGAGTTGCAAGGCATCAGGAGAGAGAGCCACAGAGGAAAATATTCCAAAGATCTTGGCATTCTTCCTATAACTTTTGTACCCTCAATCTTTTTCTTCCACATTTATGAAGCTTTTAAAACATTTTCCACCCTGAATGGCACACATTTACTGGGGTGACTTTACATTGTTTGCATTATTGTGGTTCTGGGACGTGAAGTTCTTAGAGGACAGGGGCATGTTTAGAATCACATCCTACAGAGAAGTGTTTAGTAAGTAGGAATGAGAAACATCGTCCGCAAGCATTTAAGGGAGTCTGTTTCCATTTTCAGTAAGGGCAGGTTGTCACTCAACAGGCAGATGACCCAATAGACACAGTGGTATGTTTGGTTCCTGGGAGGGATGGATGTGTAGAGAAAGGGAGGAAAAGAGGAAGAAAGCAACATTAAGCCTGATCCCTGCCATAAGCTGAGCTCCTCACCACACGCACATGCACGCACAGACACATACACACACACACACTCGCTCCTTGGCACGCAGACACACACAGAGCTTTGCTATTCTTCGGCTAATGGGATTGGCACCGCTTAAAGCAGACTGCTAGGTCATTGTCTGTGACCACAGCAAGAGAAACATTATTTAAAGACCATTCAGACCCTAAAAGAAGCGGCTGAGCAGAGTAATTATCGGAGACTCTCCATTAACTAGGGCATCTTTGCTCTTTGTCTGGGTTGGTTTAACAAGGCCCGCTAATGGGACTGTACAGGAGGGGTACACTAATGGTTCTAAAAAAGCCTCTTTTGGCCCCTTTATTACTGGGGACTGTCTTTAGAGATGCTGACAGTAAAGCAAGAAGTTACCATATTACAAAATGACCTTCCCAAAAATTTGATTTGGACCCTTGCAGCTTAGGACTCAGGTTTCCAAAATTAGAAAACATCTTTGTCTTCTCCACTTTTTAAAACTCTAAGTTGGTTCCCCGCTGCCCCCTGCCAACCCCCCGCTCCCCCGCCACTGTTCCTCTTACCTTACTTGGCCCTTTGGTTTCTTGGGAACTTGTCATTGGAAACAGCAGCACTCAGTGGTGATAAAGCAGAATGGCACTCCTGAGGAATTTCTCCTTGAGCTGGCTTCTCTACTCACTCTCCAGGACTCCACTTCTCTAGAAAAACTGCCTGTCCCATTATCACTTTTAAAATATGAAGCTAGAAGTCAATCACATGCTTACAAACCTAATACGGCCACCTAAATTAAAACTACTGTTCCATAATCAGTTAGCTTTATAACAAAGGCTTCAAATGCTTAGCTCTCCTAGAAGCTTGCATCACATACAGGGAACTCTTCTGTGCAGAGCTGTCTACCTCTCTTCATTTCCCCTCTCCCAACCCTAGACCAAGCTTCCATCTTCTCTCCTCTGGGTGACTGCAATTGTCCTGCAATCACCTCCTAGCAGCACTATTGGCCCTTTCAATCCATTAACTCTGCAACAGCCAACAGCCAGAGTAGCTCTTTCAAAACAGAAACCTGCTTAAGCATTTCAGTAGCTTCCTATTGCTCATAAGAATTCTTACTGTGATTTAAGAGACCCAGACATGGTCTGGTCCTTTTTTCCTCCCTAGCAACATCTTGTACCATGCTCCCCCTAGCGTCTGCTTCAGCCACTGCAGCCTTCTTCAATGCCATGAGCAATTCATGCTCATTCCTGCCACAGGGCCTTTGCATATCATTCTGTCTAGAACACTCTTTACCCGAGTAGTTTCCACTCATCCTTCAGCTCTCAGCTCAGTAGTCAGCCCTTCAGGAAAGTTGTCCCTTAGTGCCCCTTCTAGGTTGACGACGTCTATATCATGCAATTATAGCACCATATGCTCCTCTTCACAGCATTTACAGTAAACGTTTATACTTATCAGAATGCTTTTATGTTAATAATTACCTTGCTGTGAAACTGTAAGCTTCATGAGAATAACCACATGTTCCATAAGCAATAATTCTGCCTATTTTTGTTGTACCATCCTGTCCTCAGTGCCCAGTACAATGTTTGTGACCTGAGTGCTTAATAAATCTTTGTTGCATTGTGTATAGTGATTCAAAATACTGTACCCCGGCTCCTCCATGCCTGTTCGCAATTTTTTTTTTTTTTTAGATGGAGTCTTGCTCTGTCGCTCAAGTGATTCTCCTGCCTCAGCCTCCTGGGTAGCTGGGACTACAGGCACGTGCCACCACGCCTGGCTATTTTTTTTTCATTTTTTTTTTTTTTAGTAGAAATGGGGTTTCACCGTGTTAGCCAGGATGGCCTCAATCTCCTGACCTCATGATCTGCCCGCCTCAGTCTCCCAAAGTGTTGGGATTACAGGCGTGAGCCACTGCGCCTGGCCGCCTGTTTGCAATTTATCAACCAAAGTTTATTCCCTGAGAGGTTCCTATGTCCGGTATATTTGGGAACTACCTATATTCCATATTTTCTCAGATCAGCGTAAGGGGCCAGGTCTCTTTTCCTATGGGATTAAAGACTAATTTTCTAGTTTTAGGGGCAGAACTAGAAGCACATTCTCATTCCCCCTCTGAGAGCATCTTTACACAATAACAGACTCACAAGGCACAAGTAGACATACACAAGCTTTAGCGATGCCTCCTGTCTTCTCAAGACCCTGTGGGAAAGAGAACAGAGGGTCTATCCAAAGAAGAAGTTGAAGAATTAGAGTGTCTCAGCACTCCAGATATGCCAGCACAGAAATAGGTGGGTGGAATTGTTCCAATTATTTATGATCCCCAAGAAAACTGGGGACTTTCTCTACTGTTTAGAGAAGGAAGCATGGGCTTCAGTAGATGCAGAGTAACAGCATGGATTGGGTGTGTATTCTGTTGCCTTTAGCTGCCCTGGAGAGAAGGCCATCAGGCCATATACAGCCAGCTGAATGTACCATGACTCATACTGAATGGGATCAGGCATTCAGTGGGCTGACTGAAGCCGTGTATCCTATCACTCCTTTTAAAAATATAAAGCTATAAGCCCACAAGTTTGAGACCAGCCTGGGCAACATAGTGAGACCTCATCTCTACCAAAAACTTAAAAATTAGCGAGACGTGGTAGTGCACACCTGTATTCTCAGCTACTTGGGAGGCTGAGGTGGGAGGATTGTTTGAGCCCAGAAGGTCGAGGCTGCAAAGAACTGTGATTGCACCACTGCACTCCAGCCTGGGCAACAGGGTGAGACCCTGTCAAAAAAAAAAAAAAAAAGCTAGAAATTGATTGCATACGTGTATTTTATACTTAGTATGGCCACCTAGACCCAGACTGCTGTCTTATAATCAAGTTGCATCACTCAGCCTCAGGATTGCACCAATTTAGGGACAGTCTGGAGACCAAAGAAAAAGTCTTATTATAAAATTGTGTTTTCAGAAAATCTGAGGCCCATAGAGAATTGTCCTCCCAAGACAGGTGAACATAAAGCCACATGGTCACACCTCATGGGTTCCAGATGCATTCAAGTTCAGAGCCAGTGCCAGGAAATTTTCTAGAGCTGGTACTACTGGAAGAGACTGCTGCAAACACATAATCTTTACTGCATCTAAATTATGGAGAAAATGTGCAAACCTCCAAGCCTCAATTAACACGTATCCTATGGGCATCTCTTGGCACTCTTGTACTGCACAGGATAGAGGAGTGTGAAACAAGATTCCTGCCCTAATGAAAGAGATATGTGTTTCATAGAAACACATATCTAATGAACACAGTCTAATGTGTTCTAACACAGTCTAATGAAAGAGATATGTGTTTCATAGAATGAACAAAGCAACAGAATATACGTTCTAAATTATTGAGTTCTGGACCAGTGTCTCTAGAAGTGTGATCCACAACCTGCATGCGGCATCAACATCATTTGGGAATATTGTTTGAAATGCAAATGATTGTTTGAAATGCAAATGTTGGGTCACCCTATTGAATCAGAAGTTCTGGGGGTGGGGAAACAGGAGCATTAACAATCTCTCCAGGGGATTCCTATACACACTAAAGTTTGAAAGGCATTATAAAAATTGAGAAAAGAAGTGGTCGGAGTGGAATGAGAGCTGAAGGAAAAGTTTTTATACATATTTTCCATTTTAAAAAATAGAGATAAGGTCTCGCTATGTTGTCCAGGCTGGCCTTGAACTCCTGGTCTCAAGCAGTCGTCCCACCTCAGCCTCCCAAAGTGCTGAGATTACAGATGTGAGCCACCGTGTCTGGCCTCCCAGAATTATTAAAGCCAGTGGTAGACCAAGGGTAGGGCAGTGGGAACAATAATAAAATCAACTGAAAGTTGGGCCGTGCTGATCACCATGTGCCAGCAAACGTAAACAAGGTCAATGACAAAATATTCCTCCCTGAAAAAAATATTTGGCGTAAATCTGAACAATTGCTGAGGTTACTGAGTTTTAATAATGTGCATGTAAACTTCAACTTAGCACATTTTATTACTCATCCTTCAGCAAACCCAGTGTTCTACATGGAAGTAAATTACAAGAATTTCCAGTTATACATTCAGTTTCCAACACACGGGACTCAGCGATGCTGGCTCCTTATTTATTTATTTATTTATTTATTTATTTATTTATTTATTTATTTATTTATTTATTTTGAGACAGAGTCTTGCTGTCGCCCAGGCTGGAGTGCAGTGGTACAATCTCCGCTCACTGCAAGCTCCGCCTCCCAGGTTCACGCCATTCTCCTGCCTCAGCCTTCCGAGTTGCTGGGACTACAGGCGCCCGCCACTACGCCCGGCTAATTTTTTGTATTTTTAGTAGAGACGGGGTTTCACGGTGTTAGCCAGGATGGTCTCCTGACCTCGTGATCCGCCCGCCTTGGCCTCTCAAAGTGCAGGGATTACAGGCGTGAGCCACTGCGCCCGGCCTGCAGGCTCCTTTAAAAGTACCTTTATAATGGACCAGATGGTTCCAGCTCACTTTGGGGGCCTAGTTGTGATTTCAATCCTAGTGAAATGCCTGTGTTTAAACAGTAGATTTGAAATAATAGTGATTACAAAGAGAAAAAATAAGAATATGAGTTAACTTTAGTTCTGTCCTTTGTGACCTTTTGGGCTATTGATATTTGTAATATGAAACAGTGAAACAATGCAGACTACAAAGTGAATGTATTTGATTGGCAAAAATTTGATTACAAATTTTCATTTTTACGTGAAATATTGTACTGAATTTGAATAAAATCTTTACAATTGGAATTTATTCTTGTTTTTAACATGTTGGTCTTTCATAATTATTATCAAACTGTAATGCTATTATTCATTGCTGCAACCAACCAGTATGTAGGCACAAAGTTACAAGATTTTCCTTTTATGAGAAACAAAAACAAAATACGTCATTGTTATTAAAAAGCATTAATCCATATTTTCCTTTTTTGTAATGTAATAATTTTTACTAGAACAAAGTTTAATAAAATATTTTCACTTTCTGCTTTTCTTTTCTGAAAGATAAACTATTATTATTGTTGTTTTACTTAATGATTTTGTTTCTGAAATTGAGTTTGTTGTATAGAGAATAGGAATCTGCTGTGCCACTGGTTAAAACTATCTCCTTTTTTTTTTCCCTTTTTTTTGAGACAGAGTCTAGCTCTGTCATCTGAGCTGGAGTGCAGTGGCATGTTCTTGGCTCACCTCCCCAGCTCAAGTGATCCTCCCACCTCAGCCTCCCGAGTAGCTGGAGCTACAGATGCACGTCACCATGCTTAGTTAATTTTTGTATTAAAACTATCTCAATTTTAGTTGATAAGTACTGATCACCATGACTTACCAGTTTATTAGTTTGTTAGAGTCCATCTCATGTAATTTTTAATGAAGAGTACAGAGGTGGCTTCTTTCCAAGTGCTTTTGAATTGGAGGAGTCTTTATATTGCCTTTTCCTGAATAAAAATGTGGCTGAGTATTATTTCAACCTCATTTCTCAGCACTCTGTAAACATTGTTTCATTGCGTTCAGGTATTTCATGTGACACAAAAAGAGAAACTTGTGACAATATTAATTTTTTTCTTTGTTTTGGGATTTAATTTTTATAATGAGAAAATATGGTAGCTTTTTTTTTCTTAATTCTGTGGTTCAAAAATTTTGTTCAAATATGTCTAGGTGTACGTTTTTCTTGATTTTTTTTTTTTTTTTTGAGACAGGGTCTCACTCTATCACCTAGGGTGGAGTGCAATGGCATGTTCGTAGCTCACTGCAGCCTCGAATTCCAGGGCTTAAGCAATCCTCCCACCTCAGCCTCTGGAGTAGGATCTATAAGCATATGCCACCACACCTGGCTAATTTCCTTTATTTTTATTTTTATTTTTTTTTTTTGAGACGGAGTCTCGCTCTGTCGCCCAGGCTGGAGTGCAGTGGCAGGATCTCGGCTCACTGCAAGCTCCGCCTCCCGGGTTCACGCCATTCTCCTGCCTCAGCCTCCCAAGTAGCTGGGACTACAGGCGCCCGCCACTACGCCCGGCTAATTTTTTGTATTTTTAGTAGAGACGGGGTTTCACCGTTTTAGCCGGGATGGTCTCGATCTCCTGACCTCGTGATCCGCCCGCCTCGGCCTCCCAAAGTGCTGGGATTACAGGCGTGAGCCACCGCGCCCGGCCATTTCCTTTATTTTTTTGTAGAGATGAGGTCTCACTGTGTTGCCCAGTCTGGTTTTGAAGTCCTGAGATTTATTTCATCTGGAACATGTATTAGCACTTTTGATCTAGTTAAACAACTTCACTCATTCATTCATACGCATTCATTTTCTTATATCAGACTTCTATTTTACAGTGGTTCTGACTTATTTTTTTCCTAACTCAACTGAAGCACACAATACAGCCCAATTAGCAGACACTAATTACTGCAATTTAAAAGTACGCCAGCCCATTGGGGCCATTCTCATCATGTGCCCACCCAGGCTGTTATCACACTCTCTCATCTCCACCCTCCAGTGGAGAATCACTCTCCTCTCATATCCCTGGTGAGTGTGTCTTTCCACTGATTCTGAGTTCTTAAGAAATGTCAGTTGACTCTGTTTTTCGCTCTTTAGCCTTCATTTCTACCATCTTATCTTTATCATTCATTGTCCTTTTTTTCCCTGTATTTTGGGAAAGTTATTTAACTTGTCCTTGTCACTACAGCATCAGTTTTGCTACGCTTCCAACATTGTGGTGTTTTGTTTTGTTTTTGAGTCGGAGTCCCACTGTGTTGCCCAGGCTGGAGTGCAATGGCATGATCTTCGGCTCACTGCAACCTCCACCTCCCGGGTTCAAGCAATTCTCCTGCCTCAGCCTCCTGAATAGCTGGGATTACAGGTGTCCACCACTATGTCCGGCTAATTTTTGTATTTTTAGTAGAGACGGGGTTTCACCATATTGGCCAGGCTGGTCTCTTGGCCAGGCTGGTCTCGAACTCCTGACCTCATGATCCGCCAGCCTCAGCCTCCCAAAGTACTAGGATTATAGGAGTGAGCCACTGTGCCTGGCCTGTTTTTTTTTTTTTTTTTAATTCCAGCACACAAGAATTTCCTTGCAATCTTTCTTCATTACATCATTCTTCCTTTAATAAAAATCTTGTTGTGGCCAGGCATGATGGCTCATGCCTGTACCCAGCATTTTGGAAGGCCGAAGTGGGAAGATCGTTTGAGCTCAGGAGTTCCAGACCAGCCTGAGCAACAGAGTGAGACCCTATTTCTAAATAAAATAAAATAAAATAAGATAAAATATTAGCTGGGTGTGGTGGCTCATGCCTATAGTCCCAGCTACTTGAGAGGCTGAGAAGGGAGTAACGCTTGAGCCCAGGAGTTTGAGGCTGCAGTGAGCCATGATCGTGACGCTGCACTCTGTCTCAAAAAAAAAAAAAAAAAAAAAAAAGATTGTCTATGGTATGGTCTGAATGCTTGCATTCCCCAAAAATTTATATGTTGAAATCCTAACCCTCAAGGTGAAGGTATTAGGAGGTAAAAGGCCTTTGGGAGGTGATTAGGTCATGGGATGGAGTCTTCATGCATTGGATTAGTGTCTTAATAAAAGAGGCCTGAGAGAGGCCCTTCCCTCTGGCTTCTTCAGCCACGTGAGATTACAGTGAGAAGACGGCTGTCTAAAGGGAAGCAAGCAGGCCTTCACCAGACACCGAATCTGCCAGTGCCTTGATCTTGGACTTCCAAGCCTAGAGAACAATCAGAAATAAATTTCTGTTCTTTAAAAGCCACCCAGTCCATGGTGCTTTGTTAGAGTAGCCTCAACAGATGAATACATTGCATTTTTCATTTCATCCTTATGTCTTGATTTTATTCCTTTCTTTTAATAACTCCTGGCCCTTCCCTTAAAAAAAAAATAATCCTTCTTATACCTTTGGAGACTTCCAGTTCCCTGAAGTTTCCTTCTGTATTCTACAGTAGATCAATTCCTGGGGCAAGCTCTACCCTGGAACCTTCTGGAAGTTGTTTCCTTTTTCCTATTCTGCAAGTGTCTCCAAGGCTGCAGTGTTTTGCCCTCTTTACTCATCCTTGAATAAGGTAAGCTACGTCTAGACTGAAGGTTTATTATCAAACAAGCTCTTGAATCCATTCTCTGTCAAGTGGAATAATGCTGGAGCCCTCTTCTCAGACACATCCGGAGAAGAGGTCACCTCTGTAGCTGTCAGGTCAGTTTCCAGGTTTCAGTCAGCTTTCCCCTACCTGCTCTCTGGCAGCAGATTTCACTGGTGCTCACTCCTCGATTATGCCTTGACCTAGCCCCTCCCTTTCTTCCCCTCAGAGCTAACACTATGCCAGTGTTTGTCATAATCCTCTCTTTGCTTTTATTTCCTTTCTTTCTCCCTTCCCTCCCCTCCCCTCCCCTCCCATCCCGTTCCCTTCCCTGCCCTGCCCTGCCCTGCCCTGCCCTGCCCTGCCCTTCTTTCTTCTTTTTTTTTCTTTTTGAAACAGAGTTTCATTCTTGTTGCCCAGGCTGGAGTGCAGTGGTACATCTTGGCTCACTGCAACCTCCGCCTCCCCGGTTCAAGCGATTCTCTTGCCTCAGCCTCCCGAGTAGCTGGAACTACACGTGTGCACCACCACGCCCGGCTAATTTTGTATTTTTAGTAGAGACAGGGTTTTACCATGTTGGCCAGGCTGGTCTCCTGACCTCAGGTGATCCGCCTGCCTCGGCCTCCCAAAGTGCTGGGAATACAGGCTTGAGCCACGGCGCCTGGCCTCTTTGCTTTTATTTCTATAGTTGTATCATTTATACAGCTATAGTTGTATAGTTGTATCACATCACTTAGGATGTGATAAGCATCCCTAAATAATGTAATTAGTATTTCAAGAAATTTGAATGCAAGTTTATATTTTGCTTTTTTTCTTCTTATTATTATTGTTATTTTTCTCATCATTCCTATTCAAGGAAGTTTTTATCTTGGGAGGACTTGCTTCTTTCAATTTAATGTGCCAATGCCCTGCAGTCCAACAGGAAAACTCCTGCAGTTGAAGAAATTGAGTTCGTTACTCATTATAGTGAGGGGGAAGCACAGCATGGGGAAGGAGGGGGCATCTCAGTAAGAGAGTGTCAGGATATCTCAGTAAGAGGGTGTCAGGACATCCTAGTAAGAGGGTGTCAGGACTCATTGTAGGATTTGGGCTTCTGTTAGGTAATTTTGGGGAGAGTTTAAGGAACAAGGACTTTGCTCTGGATTAGATACTGTCAGGAGCACTGAGTATCGCACTAAATCTTATCTAGAAGGAGGGAAGGCTAGACCAAGGCTAATGCTGTAATTGGGAAAAAAGCAGCAGTCCCTCATATTAGCTAGAATAAGAGGGTACTTAGTCATTTTTGTGGTCTGGGCAATATCCATGTTTTGTCTGTGGTCAGATGTGATTACAGAGTAATCTTGTTTTTGTCTTTATCATGGTCACAGTGTGGCCTTATCTGGTGTTATGTTACATGAAATTACTTACTTTCAACAGGTGAACACCAATGTTTAGTTGTGAGCGGCCATCTGATAGCACGAGCACAGCTGCTGGATATTAGGGGTTGCTTTTCCTTTTTTTTTCTCAAATGTTGATGGGATTCATCCATGTCGTTACATGTAGCTATGGTTTATTCATTTTCACCACTCAGTAGTATTCTCTTGTATAGAATACTATTAAGCATTCCATATACAGTATAATACATTTGTGTGTATTACAATACAACCATTTTTATTTATTTGCTCTACTCTTGATGGACATTTGAATTGTTTGCAGTTTTGGACTATGACAAGTATGCTGCTATGAATATTCTTGTACATGTCTCGTGGTGCACATGCTCAAGGAATTCTATAGAGTATATATTTAGGAATGGAATTGCTTGGTCATAAGGATGTTACAACAGTCCCCCCAACATGTGGTTTTGCTTTCTGTGGTTTCAGTTACCCATAGTCAACGTCTGAAAATAGGTGAGTACAGTACAATCAGATATTTTGAAAGAGACCAAATTCATATAACTTTTATTACAGTATATTGGTATTATTGTTCTATTTTGTTAATTGTTGTTAATCTCTTACTGTGGCTAATTTATTATTCATAGGTATGTATGTATAAGGAAAAACATAGTATACATAGGGTTCAGTACTATCCGCAGTTTCAAGCATCCACTGGGGATCTTGGAACATATCGCCTGCAGGTAAGGCCCCAGGGAACACTTTAATCTTCAACTCTTTACTGTCAAACTGTTTTTCCAAAATACTTGTTACAGTTTACCTCCCTCTCCCCATCTGCCCACTGCTTAATTGTCTGATACTTGGAGCTTAACGCAGTGCACGGAAAATTGCGAGCCCCGGAATTCACTGCTGCAGTATTCTGGGGCTTGCAATTCAGTATTCTCAGCGCTTTACTTAGGGGGACCAGAACTTTCCCTGCCACATACTTTCTGCTTCATTTAAAATTGGAGACTCTTGAAAAGTTTTAAATGGAGATGGGAAGGAGCCAGTAAAGAAAGAGAGATTGAGGATACAGGGGAGAGAGACAGTAATCTGCAGAGAGAGGATCTTGGTCAGGTGAGAGAGGACAAAATGGAGGCACTGGCATTTCTTCCATTGCAAAGTAAACCATAAATAATGCCTGGATGAGCTTACAAGGAAGTCGCCATAACTGTGATTACTCTTACTAGACTTGGGATGGTCAGGGAAGGCTCTAGATAAAATGTTGTATTGAAGTTGGACTTCGAAGTCAGGCTATAATGGATATGGGCAGAAAGAAAGGGACGGGCTGATTTAGGGATAAAGCAAAAATCTCATAAAGCAAATGCTGGTGTGGAGGGTAAAGTTGTGGGAAATAATACTGGAAAGATACTTTTTTTTTTTTTTTTTTTTTTTTTTAAATAGAGATGGAGTCTTGCCATCTTGCCCAGGCTGATCTTGAACTCCTGGACTTGAGCGATCTTCCCACCTTGGCCTCCCAAAGTGCTGAGATTACAGGTGTGACCAACCATGCCCTGCCTGGAAAGAAAGATTTGAACAGACCAAGGAAGGTGTGAAACCTGGGCTGAGGATGAAACCATTACCTGAGGGGAATGATATGGTTTGGCTCTGTGTCCCCACCCAAATCTACCTTGAGTTGTAATAATCTCCATGTGTCAAGGGTGGGACCAGGTGGAGGTAACTGGATCATGGGATTGGTTCCCCCATGCTGTTCTCGTAATAATGAGTAAGTCTCAGGAGATCTGATGGTTTTATAAGCATCTGGCATTTCCTCTGCTTGCACTTGCTCCATTCTACCACGCTGTAAAGAAGGTGCCTGCTCATCCTTTGCCTTCTGCCATGATTATAAGTTTCCTGAGGCCTCCCTAGCAATGTGGAACTGTGAGTCAATTAAACCTCTTTCCTTTATAAATTACCCAGTCTCGGGTATTTCTTTATAGCAGAGTGAGAACAGACTAATACTGGGAGTTTGAAGGCTTTTGTGCAAGAAAGTAATGGGATAAAACCAATGTTGAATGCTAGATTGGAGTAGTCTAGACATAATGTAGTTATACTGAAAAAGAAGGGTCAGGTCTTAGACACCCTAAGAAGGGAGAATTAACATCTTAAGAAGGGAAAATTAGGTCTGTAAACTGGTTGTTTCATTTAAGTAAAAGATCAGAAGGACAATTAGTCATTCAGTTTTAGATATGTTAGGTTGACCTTTGATTTTCATATCTAAAAATGTCAGGCAAATCAAATTATGGGTTCAGCAATCTGCTTCCAGTCAGTAACAGAGACATTAGACCATGAAACATACAAAGTAAACACTAACAACTCCCTCCACTCCCATCCCTCCATTAAAAAACAAACAAACAAACAAAAAAACCCACCTCATTTTGTAGCTTTTGTTGATTTGCCTCCTAGTAACCAATCAGGAGGCAGTTCAGTACCTCTCTCTTCAAACAGTTACTTACGTATGCTCCTAGAAAGAAAAAAATAACTATGAAGCCATATTTATATAGATGTATACTTTTTAAATTTATTCAAGTGGTTTTGAATTCTGTGTCTACCACTAAGTTACCATGCAATCTCTGGCAGGTCGCTTAAACCTATTTGTGCCTCTCAGTGTCACCATCTAGAAAATGAGGGTGATGATATAAAAATATAGGGTTCCAAAGAAGATTAAGTGAGTTATTGAATGTAAAGGACTTAGAAGAGTGCCTGTCACATAGCAAAAGCTCAGTAAATATTTGTTATTTTTATTGTTTTCTTGGAGATCCTTTCATATCAGCCCATATAACTATAATATTTTTAAAAGGCTGTATAAAGCCGGGCATGTGGCTCATGCCTGTAATCCCAGCACTCTGGCAGGCTGAGGCGGGTGTATCATTTGAGGTCAGGAGTTTGAGACCAGTCTAGCCAACGTGGTGAAACCTCGTCTCTACTAAAAATATAAAAATTAGCTGGGTGTGGTGGCATGTGCCTATAATCCCAGCTACTCAGGAGGCTGAGAGAGGAGAATCGCTTGAACTCAGGAGGCGAAGTTTGCAGTGAGCCAGGATTGCGCCATTGCACTCCAGCCTGGGTGACAGAGTGAGACTCTGTCTCAAAAAAAAAAAAAAGAGAAAAGAAATAAAATAAAAAATAAAAGGCTGCATAATAGTCCCCAGAATGGCTAGCTCCAGATTTTCAGATTTTTCTATTATAAACGATATACTTGTACATCTATATTGGCAAGTTTTTGCAAGTATATCCATATGGTAATTTTTTGAATTGCAGAATTAAAGGATGTGGTGTATTTAAATTTTGAAGGATATTGCTAAATTGTCCTCAAAAAAGTGTACCAATTTGCACTCCTACCAATACAGCATGAGAATGACTGTGTCTGTATTCTTAACAACATTTATTATTATCTAGCTTTGTAATATGATAAACAAATTCAAATCGCTCATTGGTTTTTTTTTTACATAAGCTTTTAAAAAATAACAGCTTTATTAAGATATAATTCATATGCCAGGCAGTTTACCCATTTGAAGTGCACAATTCAATGGTTTTAGTATTTCACAGAGTTGTGCAAGCATCACCACAATCAATTTTCATGACCTCCCCCCAAAACTGTATCTATTAGCAGTCACTCACCATTTTCCCTCTAGTCCCACCCCCTCACGCCTTAGGCGACCATGAACCCACTTTCTGTCTCTCTGGATTTACGTATTCTGAGCATTTTATGTCATTGGAATCATAAAACATATGCTCTCGTGTGTGGCATTTTTCACTTAGCATAACGTCTTCAAGGCTCATCCATGTTGTAGCACGTGTCAGTTTTTCATTCCTTTTTATGGCTGAATAACAGTCTTTTGTATAGATACAGCACATTTTGTTTATCCATTCATCAGTTGATGAGAATTTGGGTTATTTATACTTTTTGGCAGTTATTTAATAATTCTGCTTTTTATTGCCAGATAATATTTCATTATATGGATATACTCATTATTTTTATATGCAGTTATTTAATTGTGAATGAGACAAAGATTTTAATAGATTTGACCATTTTCTTTTTGATTTGTTTTTACTTACTGAGTTGTACAAGAAGTTGTATATTAATGATTTTCTTTGCTTGCCAAATGTTGCAATATTTTTTCCACTTTGTATATATTCACATTTTTCTCTTCCTTTAAGACTTTAGAATTGTGTGTCTTGCCTAGAAAGTCTTTTTATATTACATCTGTGTAGTGTGGGTATAAAAAATAAAACAAAAAAAATGAAGAAAAAATCTTATTATTTTATTTTACGTTTTCTTTTCTTTTTTTCTTTTTTGAGACAGGGTCTCACTCTGTTGCCCAGGCTGGAGTGCAGTGGCACAATTATAGCTCATTACAGCCTCAACTTCCTGTGTTTAAGCCATCCTCCCACCTCAGCCTCCCAAGTAGCTTGGACTATAGGTGTGCACCACCATGCCTGGCTGGTCTGCAACTCCTGAGCTCTAGCAGTCCTCCCACCTTGACCTCCCAAAGTGCTGGGATTACAGGTGTGGGCCACAGCACCCAGCCTAGAAATTATTTTTAAACTCCTGGATTATATATAAATAAACTCACCAATAAATGAATAAATTTATTTATTTATATATTTATTATATATAAATAAATTCACTCAAAACTCCTAATTATATATAAATTCACCAGTTTTTTAAAAACTCCTAGATTATATACAACTCCTAGATTAACATATATTTCATACTCCAGATTATATATAAATTCACCAACTATATAATCTAATATATATAATAGTAGTTCAAAACCAGTATATGTAACAAGTATAATATATACATATAAGTATATGTGTGTGTATATATATACTTATGCATGTGTATGTGTGTGTGTGTATATATACATATATATACACATATATACACTTACTTGTTTATATTACATTTCTCTCATCCAAGTATTAAGCAGGCCCCCAGACCTAACCCTGCTTAGCTTCTGAGATCAGATAAGATTGGGGGCATTCAGAGTGGTATGGCCATAGAGTATGTATTATATTGCTATCTTTGAATCCTCTGGAAATTTGGGAATATAAAGAGCATGGTAAAGAATCCATTTTATTTTATTTTCCATTCCTAGCCAGTTTTCTCATCACTGTCTATTGATTAATACATCTTCCCTTCTCCCATCCCTCCCCTATAAATTCGACTCATCTACCTTTTTCACACATTAAATCTGTATACGTATTTGGGTTTATTTCTGTTGATTCTCTTCTATTCCATTCTATTCTATTTAGCTATTCTATTTCTTCTCTAGAATAAGATATTTTAATTATTATAACTCCATGATACATTTTAATGTATAGTTGTATTAATTACCCTCTCACTACTCTTGTTTTTCAGAGTTTTTCTAATTGCCCATTTATATGTCTTGAAGAACTTTAGTGTTATTTTTGTCAGGTTGAAAAAAATCACCTTGGTGTTTTATTTGGCATATACATTGAATTTACAGATCATTTAAGGAAATCAATGTCTTTATAATGTGAATAGTCTCTCTTAATGTTGTAGGCAAAGAGGGAAAATCTGAAGAGGAAAAGGAAGAGGAGGAGGAGAAGGAGGTAGAGGAGGGGGAAGAGGGGAATAAGGAAGAAAAAGAGACAATTTCCTTCATAATTCACATTCTAAAATATGACGTAAATTGCATTTCCCTCTGAATAGCACAAAACACTTTTAAAACACCATCTCAGTCTCTAAAACATCTCAGCAGTATGCAATTACTATTGCTAATTGATAGACTAAAAGTTCAAGGCACAAACTTGGCCATGTTCTTTAACTTATATAATCATTCTAAAGTGATTTCTTTTCTTTTGGGTACTTATGAAGAACTGAGTGTAAATCTTTCCTGCCTACAGGTTTTTGGCAGCCCCTGCTGGAGTAAGATTATGTAATGGATAGGGGTAACAGCTCGCATATCTATATGCAAGCAATCTAATTGACAGCGACTTTATTCTGATGTAAGCTACTTTGCGAAAATTTGGACTCTTACCCCAACTTCAACTTTTATCCCACTGTCAAAATTATTTCCAGATTATCCAAAGTGATAGGTAATAAACAGAAAAATAGATTAACACTCATTCTTAGCTTCTTAGACCTCTTAATTTTGAACAGTTTCCTTTGGAGAATTGTAAAATTAAAGGTTATTTTCCCACAATTTTTCTCCTTCTAAATATTTGGATAACACACTAGGGTGACTAAATGGATACTTCGAGCCTACCACGAAGACGGCCAATCTGCAAAGCAAAGCTAAGAGAACAGGGAGTCCAAATGCACTTGGAGTACCTGGAAATTATACCTGGCAGCCAGCAACCTTTTGTGCTTCTTTGTTGTACTGTATTTTCTGGCAGCAGGCTTTCAAGGGTATCTTTATTTCACTGATTACTAAATTGTGTTGGATTTAATGAGAGAGATCTGTCCTTTTATTTGTGCCTTTTTCCCTTCTTCTTCTTACTTAAAAAAAAAAAAGGATCAGCATCACAAAAGCTTTGTACATTTCTAGTTTGCTTTTGATGATGTGACCGTTTGCTCCCATCTATCTCCATGGTAATAAGCTGTCTCTACCCCCACTTTTCGAAGCCTCAGATACTTAGGAAGCTTCAGGACTGGAGAAGAGTTGCATGTTAAAATAATGCAGAGAAATAAATTGGTCTCTGTAAATAGGCCCCATCTTCAAAGCCTTCGAATTTTCTTCAAAATGTGATCCATTTTTCTTAGCTTGAAAACAGGTGCATTTTAGATAAAATATTTGAAAGTAAATTTGCATCTCAGCAAATGCATCTCAGTAAGTGCCCCTATTCTAAAATAAGACTTGGGTAGGATTTTAAAACTGGAAGAGGCCTCAGGCTTCATTTAGTCCAAGATGCTTATTATATACTTGAGGAAACTCAGGCTCAAAGTATTTCACGGCTTTGTATCTAATCGTAACTTTGAACTGGGACTTATGCCTCCCAGCAAGGTATTCTTTCTTCTGTTACTAATATGTCAATAATAATTATTATTATGTTAATAACAATAGCTATTTTTAGTAATAAAAGAGAGAATTCACATAAGATGCTATAAAATGCCAGTAATTGTTATTATATCTGGCTAGGCAACTTTCCCAATAACAAAGGTTTTCAAAAGTTGATCTTTTAGTTTTCAAATTATGTTCTCTTAAAGAATACACTCATAGAAGTCGATATTTCTAAAAGATGATTATATATAAATATACATACACATACACATATATATTTGTAGTATATAAATAAAATATTAATAGTGATTATCTCAGTAGTGGTTAAAATTAATTTAAATGTCATTTAAAAAATAATATTCTGGTTGGGCATGGTGGCTCATGCCTGTAATCCCAGCAGTTTGGGAGGCTGAGGCGGGCGGATCACTTGAGGCCAGGAGTTGGAGACCAGTCTGGCCTACATGGTGAAACCCCATCTCTACTAAAAATACAAAAATTAGCCAGGCATGGTGGTGGGCACTTGTAATCCCAGCTACCCGTGAGGCTGAAGCAGGAGAATCGCTTGAACCTGGGAGGAAGAGGTTGCAGTGAGCCGAAATCGCGCCACTACGCTCCAGCCTGGACGACAAAGTAAGACTGTCTCAAAAAAAAAAAAAAATAGTCTGTATTTTTAAATTTTCTATGTAAAACTTGTATTACTTTTCTTATAATAAAAGAAGACTATATTTTTGGAAAAAAATATTCACACATTTGATGCTTAAAATGTAAATCATTCCTTCCTGGCCCAATCCCACTGTTCTTTTCCCACAAAATTCAAAATAATTTCATTCACAGTAGCTACAGATATTCTGCCCTGCTCTATGTACTATGACTTAGTGCTGGGGACTGGAATGACTGTGTCCCATCATTCACAAAATATCAGGGATTTTCACTTAGGCAGGGAGAATTGACTGCAGAACGCAAGGTGGTGTTTTTTTTTTTCCAGTTGTCAAATGATCCTTTATTGAAATATTTTCCTTTGTGCTTCTTAACTAGTTGGGCATTCCACAACAACACTGTTGATGTCATCTATGATGTCATGAGGTTGGTGGCCATCAACATTATGGCTCACAGACTGGGCAGTCTCCAGGATCTCCTTAATGGTTCCAGAGAGTTCTCTGGGTAAAGATGGGTGCTGCATCTGTCAAGCAATGTTGATGATCTCATCAAAAGTGATATTCCCACTGTGTTTAATGTTTTTCTGTTTCTTTCTGTCTCTTGGTGGTTCCTTGAGGGCTTTGATGATCAGGGCAGAGGCAGAAGGCACTACCTCAATCTGGGCCTGTCTGTTCTGAATGGTCAGTTTCACTGTAATTCTCAGGCCCTTCCAGTCACCCATTGCCTTGGCAATGTCATCACCAATCTTTTTTGGAGACAGACCCAGTGGGCCGATCTTGGGGTCCAGCGCAGACGTGGCACTGACTTCACCCCCAGTGCACCTCAGGTATACGACTTTGATCCCGTTGGGGTCGAACTTCTGCAGCATGGTGGAGGTGGCTGGTGATGGATGAACCCGGATTCAGGATGACGGAAGAAAGTTGCACCTTGGCCTCCTCCAAGCCAAGAGCCGAAAGAACCCAAGGTCTTTATAAGGTATATCCCTCTCACAGCTTTTTGTGGACTCATGTTTTACTTATTGTTTTGTTAAAAGCAATGGCAACAAAAGCCAAAATAGACAAATGGGATCTAATTAAACTAAAGAGCTTCTGTACAGCAAAAGAAACTACCATCAGAGTAAACAGGCAACCTACAGAATGGGAGAAAATTTCTGCAATCTACCCATCTGACAAAGGACTAATATCCAGAATCTTCAAAGAACTTAAACAAATTTACAGGAAAAAATCAAACAACCCCATCAAAAAGTGGGCAAAGGATATGAACAGACAGTTTTCAAAAGAAGACATTTATGCAGCCAACAGACACATGAAAAAATGCTCATCATCACTGGTCATCAGAGAAATGCAAATCAAAACCACAATGATTAGAATGGTGATCATTAAAGTCAGGAAACAACAGATGCTGGAGAGGATGTGGAGAAATAAGAATGCTTTTACACTGTTGGTGGGAGTATAAACTAGTTCAACCACTGTGGAAGACAGTATGGCGATTTCTCAAGGATCTAGAACTAGAAATACCATTTGACCCAGTGATTCCATTACTGGGTATAAACCCAAAGGATTTTAAATCATGCTGCTATAAAGACACATGCACAAGTATGTTTATTGTGGCACTATTCACAATAGCAAAGACTTGGAACCAACACACATGTCCATCAGTGATAGACTGGATTAAGAAAATGTGGCACATTACTATGCAGCCATAAAAAATGATGAGTTCACGTCCTTTGTAGGGACATGGATGAAGCTGGAAACCATCATTCTCAGCAAACTATCCCAAGGACAAAAAACCAAACACCGCATGTTCTCACTCACAGGTGGGAATTGAACAATGAGAACACTTGGACACAGGAAGGGGAACATCACACACCCCGGACTGTTTTGGGGTGTGGGGAGGGGGGAGGGGGGAGGGATAGCATTAGGAGATATACCTAATGTAAATGACGAGTTAATGGGTGCAGCACACCAACATGGCACATATATACATATGTAACAAACCTGCATGTTGTGCACATGTACCCTAGAACTTAAAATATAATAAAAAATATATATATATTAAAAAAAAGAAAATGTGGCACATATACACCATGGAATACTATGCAGCCATAAAAATGGATGAGTTCATGTCCTTTGTAGCGACATGGATGAAGCTGGAAAGCATCATTCTGAGCAAGCTATCGCAAGGACAGAAAATCAAACACCACATGTTCTCACTCATAGGTGGGAATTGAACAATGAGAACACTTGGACACAGGGCAGGGAACATCACATACCCCGGCCTGTCGTGGGGTGGGGGGATAGGGGAGAGATAGCATTAGGAGAAATACCTAATGTAAATGACAAGTTAATGGGTGCAGCAATCAAACACGGCACATGTATACATATGTAACAAACCTGCACGTTGTGCACGTGTACCCTAGAACTTAAAGTATATATATAAAAAAAGAGCTACTTTTAACTAAAAGAATAATAATTAATACTACTGAGAGCTTTTCACCTGAACACCTCAAAGCACTGCACATGCCTTAACCCCTTTATGGTCTCATTGAGGTATGTGTTTGCTCTTAAAGACTTTTCACAATTTCACAAGCAAAACTCAAATGATCCATTATATCTAAGAAGTCAAGGCAAACCCTCTGGGAATAAAGAGCTGCCTAGGAATAATAGTAGGGCTACCTTATGAGACATGGTGAAAGTCCTGGGCACAGTGTCTTGTGGATGGCAGATGCTGAAAAAAGGTCCCATGTTTCCAATGCAGAGATCACAATAGGGCCTGGTTATGCCTTTGAGGCCTCAGCCCATGAGGCCCACCAGGTAACCAAAGCACTGTGATCGTGCACCATCAGCCTGAATAGAGCCACTTGCAAGTTATAACTTTATCTCTGCTCCTGATTATGTGAAAAACGGCAAACAACTTTGTTTAACCTCCACTTACTTTTTTCCCCTCCTTGACTATAGTTGAAATCAGCTGTATTAGGCCATTCTTGCATTGCTATAAAGAAATACCTGAGACTGGGTAATTTATAAAGGAAAGAGATTTAATTGGCTCATATTCCTGCAGGCTATACAGGAGGCATGGTGCTGGCATCTGCTTGGCTTCTGGTGAATCCTCAGGGAGCTTTTATTCATGGTGGAAGGTGAAGTGGGAGCTGGCACTTCACACGGCAAAAGCAAGAGCAAGAGAGAGAGAGTGAAGGTGGGGGTACCACACACTTTTAAATTACCAGATCTCATGAGAACTCACTCACTATCTCCAGGACAGGTCCAAGCCATGAGAAATCTGCCCCCATGACCTTAACACCTCCCATCAGGACCCATCTCCAACACTGGGGATTACATTTCAACATGAGGTTTGGGCAAGGACATGTATCTAGATTATATCATCAACTAGATCCAAACAGCTTTTGCTATCAATGACAATATTTATTTAATCCCTCCCCCCTTTTTCTTTTGAGACAGGGTCTCGCTCTGTCATCCAGGCTGGAGTGCAGTGGCGTGATCACAGCTCACTGCAACCTTTGCTTCCCAGACTCAAGCAATTCTCTAGCCTCAGCCTCCCAAGTAGCTGGGACTACAGGTGTGA
The DNA here is from genome assembly GCF_000001405.40 of Homo sapiens. Classification (NCBI taxonomy): domain Eukaryota; kingdom Metazoa; phylum Chordata; class Mammalia; order Primates; family Hominidae; genus Homo; species Homo sapiens. The sequence continues at coordinate 52,613 of NW_018654710.1, forward strand.
GCCACCATGCTTGGCTGATTTGTGTGTTTGTCTGTGTGTGTGTAAATGGGGTTTCACTATGTTGACCAGGCTCGAACTCCTGAACTCAAAGCAATCTGCCTACTTTGGCCTCCCAAAGTGCTGGGATTACAGGCGTGAGCCACTCCACCCAGACTATTTAATCCTTTTTGTTTGTTTGTTTGAGACAGAGTTTCGCTCTTGTTGCCCAGGCTGGAGTGCAATGGCATGGTCTCGACTCACTGCAACCTCCGCCTCCCGGGTTCAAGCGATTCTCCTGCCTCGGCCTCCCGAGTAGCTTACAGGCGTGCATCACCATGCCTGGCTAATTTTGTATTTTTAGTAGAGTCGGGGTTTCTCCATGTTGGTCAAGCTGGTCTCAAACTCCCAACCTCAGGTGATCTGCCCGCCTTGGCCTCCCAAAGTGCTGGGATTACAGGCGTGAGACACCTCACCCGGCCTTATTTAATCCTTTTTATAGAAGGATAATGCTTGAGACCTTCAGAAATGATCAAATGATGATTTGCCATATCTTCTTTCACATTTAGGTTAAACACTGTCCTGGGAACAACTCTAATTGGGGATGAAAGAAGAATAGAAAAGGACAATATAACTTATGCTAGGTTATTAAAACTTAGTGGGAAGTAACCAAGTATCTTGAATAATGTGTCTAAAATAGATCTCTATGGTTTTGCCCCAAACCTGCTCCTTCTCCAATAGTCACCTCTTTTTAATACATGGTACTGGTATTCGCCCAGTTACTCAAACCAAAAACTAGAGAGCCACCCTGGGCTCTTCCTCTCCCTCCACTCCCAAATTCAGTCCATCTGTAAGTCCTGTTAGTTTGTCTTCCAAAAAAATTCCCACATTCTTCCACTTTGCTTCTTTTTTTGTCCTCTGTGGTCCCCTGGTCCAAGCCCCTGTCATCTGTCACATGATCAGCACAGTGACTTCTGACCAGCCTCCCCCTTTCCCCCTCACTACAGTCCATTTTCTCCATGGCAGCCAAATTTAAAGATCACACGTGTCATACCCCTGCAAAAAAGCATCCTTTCTCGCAGAACAAAATCCAAACTCCTTTTGGGGAACCTGGAGTACCTACTTGCTCTAGGCACTGTGCACCTGAAGCCCTTTTTCTCCCTGTCTCTCCCTTGCTTTCTCTTCTGGCTGTGTGGCCCCCGGGCTCTGCAGATGCTCCTTGTGCATGGCAGGGTCTTCTCCAAGGACCTTCATGTGATTCCCCCATTCACATCATTCAAGTCTGCCCGAATTCTTTCTCCCCAGCAAGGCTTTCCCTCACTGTCCTATCCAAAAGGGCACCTTGCCCTTCATCTCCTTTCCCTGCCTTCTTCTTCCATACAGACCTCCTCACCCTGCAATTATGTTGTATCGTTCAACTTGTTTGTTTCTGCCTGAACTGTCTCTGTCTCTAGAATGGAATCTCCTCAAGCAGGGATGTGGTCTTTCTTGTAATCCACTAAGAGTTCAGCTCCAAGAGCAATTCTTCACATACGGAAGGTACTCAAGGAATATTTATAGAATAAATGAATGGTCTCATCTTAATCTTTTCTTCTCCTATGAGAGAGAACATTTTGGGAGTGAGGATCAATGTTAGACGTGATTAAGAGCCCTAGAGAATAAGAAGTTATAATAACATGCAGCAGATGCAAGAAAAAGCAAATTGCATTTTTGCCATGGATTGCTGTGGATATATCCAAGTGCTGCACATAGATATTTGGGCTGTAGATTTATGTGGCGTAGAGAGATGCTCACCCCAAAAGACACTGCACTAAATGCTGTGCAGGCTCACTATAATCAGTAAGTGCTTATCGCCCCCTTCAGGTGCTTATCTTCTTGAGAACAGAGACAGTGACTCATGTTATATTTTATTATAGTAATTTGCAAATAGCAGGTAATACATAAATATTTGCTAAATTGAATGACATTGATCCTTTCCACATCTGGAATGAATTTTTAGGTTCTGGTGTGCGTGTGTGTGTGTGTGCGTGTGTGTGTGTGTGTTTACATTCAAAATATCTATTTTGAAGTGATCAGATCTGGGGGCCTTGTTACTTCTTCCTAAGTCGATTTATCACAATTCCAATGAAAATACCACCAAACTTTCCTATGGAGCCAAACAAATTAATACTAAAGTTTATATTTTAAAAATAAGCAAGAATAGTCGAGAAACCAATAAAAAAGAAAAACTTTTAGCAGGGAGTAGCCTGCCACATATTAAAATATTCTATAAAGCCCCTAATAATTAAAACATTTCCTGTTCTTGGATAGGATGACTAAGCAGCACAAAGATGTCAGTTGTCCAAGTCAATTTATTAACGATCATAATCCCAATAAAAATAGCAGCTAGCTTTTTAAATGAAGCCATACAAGTTGATACTAAAGTTTATATGGAGAAACATGTAAAAATAGCCAGGGAAACATTTAAAAACACACAAAACTTTGAAGTAGACTAACAGATATTAAAACACACTATAAAGCCTTTTATAATTAACACACAGTGGTACTGTCCCATGACTAGACAAGTAGACTAATGCAGCAGAATAAAAAGTCCAGAAATAGAAAGAAACACATATGGTAATTGACTATATGAAGAACTGGCATCTCAAACCATTGGGTCAAAGATAAACTTTTGTTATTATTTTTTAAAATCTACCAGTTATCCTCAAGTTCTACAAAGATAAGCTTTTAAATAAACGGTTCTGGGACAGATGGTACATTTGGAAAAAGATAAAATTAAATTCATACGTCACACCATATTGAAGAATAAATTCAAAGTAGGAATCTAAATGTAAAATACAAAATCACACAAGTGCTAGAAGAAAACATGGGTGAATTCTTCTTTAACCTTGATATAGAGAAAGCCTCAAAATCTAGAGGCAATAAAAGAAAATGTTAATAAATTTGACTACATTAAAAATAAAAATAATTTTTTGGGGGCATGGCTAAATACCCCACTGTAAACAAAGTCAAAAAACAATGAGCACAAGCCAGGCATGGTGGCTCATGCCTGTAACCCCAGCACTTTGGGAGGCCAAGGCAGGCAGATCACTTGAGGTCAGGAGTTCGAGACCAGCCTGGCCAACATGGTGAAACCTCATCTCTACTAAAAATACAAAACATTAGCTGGGCGTTGTGGCAGGTGCCTGTAATCCCAGCTACTGTAATCCCAGCTGAGGCAGGAGAATTGCTTGAATCCGGGAGGCGGAGGTTGCAGTGAACCGAGATCTCACCACTGCACTCCAGCCTGGGTGACAGAGTAAGACTCTATCTCAAAATTTAAAAATGAAAAAAAATCAGCTGGGCATGGCAGTGCGTGCCTTTAGTCCCAGCTACTGGGGTGGCTGAGGTGGGAGGATTGCTTGAGCCCAGGAGGTTGAGTTTGCAGTGAACTGTGATTGTGCCACTGCACTCCAGTCTGGACAACAGAATGAGACCCTGTTTCCCACAAAAAGAAAAATAAAACACAATAAGCAGTGAGCTGTATTACAGATAAAAGTATAATATTCTTAATATGTAAAGAACTCTAAATAAATGGAAGGACAAAGGATCAAAAGCCTGATTTAAAAAATGGGAAAACTACATTAATACACAATTCTGATAAGAAAAAGGCTGATTATGCCTGTAATCTCAGCACTTTGGGAGGCCGAGGTGGGTGGATCACTTGAGCTCAGGAGTCTGAGACCAACCTAGGCAATATGGCGATAACCCCATCTCTACAAAAAATACAAAAATTAGCCTGATGTGGTGGCACACACCTGTGGTCCCAGCTACTCAGGAGGCTGTGGTGGGAGAATCGCTTGAACCAGGGAGGCAGAAGCTGCAGTGAGCTGAGATTGCACCATTGCACTCCAGCCTGGGCAACACAACCAGACCCTGACTTAAAAAAAAAAAAAAAAAAAAAAAAAGTAGGGAGAGTTTTAAAGTGTTAGTTATATCAGAAGTAGACCGTCTGTATCCGTCTCTGTCGGTGAACAGAAGACCCAAATAGAATAATTTAGAGGAATTTAATAAAGAATCAGGTTTAAGGGAACCTCACAAAGAATGGTGCAGTATCCTGAAGTTAGCAAGAACCAGGAAGATATTATTGGTCTAGGCCTGAACTAATTGACAGAGAATATGGTGTAGCTAAATGGAGAATGCTGCCTGGAGAGCCAGAAAGCCAAACCACAATGACTCAGCTGGGATGAAGCTGGGGAATAAAACCAGCACTCTCACGCTCCCTTACCTCCTCCATGGAACTTCTGTTGTCATCCAGTGGCTGAAATCAACTGGAAGCCTACAGGGAAAGACCTGCCTCCTGGGACACAGAGCAGGTGAGGAAGGGACAAAGCATTACCCTAGAGAGATGAATGAAAACTATTCTGCACACCAACTCTTTCAAACGGTGTGCTTCATATGCGGAACTGAGAGTCTCAGAATGATCACAAGACACCACCGTGTAGAAGATAGGAACTTGAGGATGCCCCCTTTTAAGAGTGGGTTTGGGCAGGAGTTAAATAATATCTGAATTGGCCAGGCACAGTGGCTCATGCCTGTAATCCCAGCACTTAGGGAACCCAAGGCTGGAGGATCGCTTGAGGCCAGGAGTTCAAGATCAGCCTGGGCAACATAGCAAGACCCTCTCTCAATAATAATAATAATAATAATAATAATAATAATAATAATGTTTTGGCTAGGCATGGTGGCTCACCTCTGTAATCCCAGCACTTTGGGAGGCTGAGGCGGGTGGATCACAAGGTCAGAAATTCAAAACCAGCCTGGCCAAGATGGTGAAACCCCGTCTCTACTAAAACTACAATAATTAGTCAGGCACAGTGGCAGGTGCCTGTAATCCCAGCTACTTGGGAGGCTGAGGCAGGAGAATCGCTTGAACCTGGGTAGCAGAGGTTGCAGTGAGCTGAGATCGTGCCACTGCACTCCACCCTGGGCAACAAAGTGAGACTCCCTCTCAGTAATAATAATAATAATAATAATAATAATAATAATAATAATAAAGTTTTATAATCTTTGTTATCACAAAGCTTTACCATATTATTTTACCATATTATTATAACCATAGTAAAATAGGTGAATAATAATAGGTGAAAGACAACTATACCTTCTTTGACACTGCTCCCATTGAGAAATGGGACCTATGTCTCCTCCCCTCGAGTCTGACTGCTTTGACCAGTAGAATATCCGGGGAGTGGCACTGTACTGGTTTCCAAGCTTGGCTTTAAGAGACTGGCAGCTTCCATTTCCTGTCTCTTAGGACATTGATTGGAGCCCCGAGCTTCCCTGTGAGAGTCTGACTACCCAGAGGCTGCCATCGAATAAGGAAGCCTAAGGTGGCTGCAGGAAGAAACTGTGGAAAGGCGGGTGGGGAGGGACAGACAGACAGAGGGAGAAAGAGAAACAGATGCCCAGCCAACCCCTGGTTGTTCTGGTCCCCCCGCTATTCCAGTCTTGCAGCTGAGGCCTCAGGCATTCTGGAGCAGAAATGAGCTGTCCCTTGCTGTGCCCTGTTTGAAGATAGTCATGATAAATGGTTGTTTCAAGCCACTACAGTATTGTGCAGTAATAATAGATACTTGGGCAGAATTTGGTACTTGGAAGTGGGGTGCTATCATAACGAATACCCAAACCATATGGCACTGGCTTTGGGACAGAGTGTCAGGGAGAAGCAGAAAAAGCCAGGAGGAGACTATGGGTGAGGGTGTGAAAGACTGAGCAAAGTATTTATAGGGGCTGGAAAACAGAGGACTCTTTATGTAGCGACAGAAAGTGTGAGGACACTGTCGCCTATGGGAACGTGGAAAACAGAAAGAGTGCTTAACAGCTTGTGGGGTTGGCTAGAGAGATGTCCAAGCAGAATGTAGAAGGTGCCAACTGGCTTTTTTCAGTTGCCTATGACAAAATATGAGACAGGAGAGATGATCTAAAGAAAAATTGTGGGCTCGGTGCAGTGGCTCATGCCTCTAATCCCAGCACTTTGGGAGGCCGAGGCAGGAGGATCACGAGATCAGGAGTTCAAGACCAGCCTGGCCAATGTGGTGAAACCCTGTCTCTACTAAAAATATAAAAAATTAGCAGGGTGTGGTGGTGCACGCCTGTAAATCCAGCTACTTGGGAGGCTGAGGCAGTAGAATCACTTGAACCCGGGAGGCGGAGGTTGCAGTGAACTGAGATCACGCCACTGCACTCCAGCCTGGGCGACAGGGTGAGACTCTGTCTCAAAAAAAAAAAAAAAAAAGAAAAAAAGAAAGAAAAAAGAAAAATTGTTCAAGTTCTTAGCAAAAATGGAAAAGTACAAATATTGGGTTATAAAATAAAACTGTTGCTTATCCCTGGTCTTTTCCATTAAAAGATTCCCAAATAATAAATATCTCTAGGGCCTAAGATCAAATCCAGAATAAGATGCTTTGTCAGAAAAATTTAAGGGCAGGCCTAGTAGTATGTCTAAGAATCTCAAGGATGTGCCTCATAGACCATCTCAGTAAACAATAGAACTTTTAAGACTCCTAAAGGTGTTGTCTCACAGGAACCTCAAAGGAGATCCAGGTATTTCTAATGAGTAAAATGGGCACATTTGCATCTTCTTGACAGGATTGCTGTGACTATTAAACAAAATAATACCCATTCATTCTAAATATATGCTGATGTCTACTCTATCCCAGGCACTGTACTAGTGTTTGATAATTTCTAAGAGTTATTAATCTGCAGGATTCTGGAACAAAAAACTAGAATTCTTGAGAATTCTTGGTGATCCTCAAAATCATAAGTTATCTACATTTCCCCATAACATCTTCTTGGTATGTTTTTAAAAACAATGACTGACTACACTAGTAAATAGCGGACCATTTTTCTGTGATGGGATTATACAAAAAGTTTCTAAAGCTTTCTGCAACCAAAACAAACAAGAAATCCCCCCAGACAGTGATAATAAATGCATGGGTTATATGGTTTATTATTATTATGGACATATATATTGAGACAAGATTACACTACATTTCAATGACCCATAAAAATAATTTCTACCTGAGTTAGACAATAGAATATATTAAAAGAAGGGAACATTAACACACAATAATGCCAAATAAAATGATTCAAACAATTGAAAGATAATACTGCAAACATTTACATTTTAAAAGTTATTCTTTTTTGGAGACGGAGTCTTGCTCTGTCACCCAGGCTGGAGTGCAGTGGTGCAATCTCGGCTTACTGCAACCTCCGCCTCCCAGGTTCAAGCAATTCTCCTACCTCAGCCTCCCGAATAGCTGAGATTACAGGCTCATGCCACTGCGCCCGGCTAATTTTTGTATTTTTAGTAGAGACAGGGTTTCACCATGCTGCCCAGGCTGGTCTCAAACTCCTGAACTCATGATCTGCCCGCCTTGGCTTCTCAAAGAGCTGGGATTACAGGCGTGGGCCATTGCGCCCGGCCAAAAGTTATTCTTAAAATGAAATTGAAAAACACATAAAGCATGAATTGCCCTGAATGTCTTGGTCCTTGTTTCCTGACAAATATTCCAGGTGTAGAATGTTTTTTCATCCTCTGTTAATGTTAATTTATTATTACTAAGAATGTGTCTACAAGCTTCTTCGAATTGAGCATTAGGGTACGTGTTGGTTATTATAAACTCATTCACTTTTCTTAATGATGAAAATAATTGTCTTCTTTCACTGGTTTTGATTTTTTTCCTTGAAGTCTATGTTATTTTCGCTAATTCAGATTTTAGATGTTTCTGACTTCGTGATGGAATAGTTCCCAACAATATTCACTCTTCTTTGCATTGCTTCTGATAAAGCATATTTTCCTCCACAAAAGTCTTTCCTTAATGATTTTGCTAATTGAGCCATTTCATTTTTGTTTGCTGAAGCAAAAAGAGTTGTCAACCTCATATAAACTAACTGCTGAAATATTTTAATGAGAAATATGAGATCTTTTTTCTGCATTAAATAATTCAATTCTAACTTCTTTTAAAAGCATACTACTCAAAGCACAAGCCTGTTTTCGATTAGAAGATTTGCATCATGATTACTTAATGCTTCAACTACTAATCAAACAAGTTTTAAGCAAGTTATTGTCTCTCTCACAATTTGACAATATTCCATTTTCTCTCTCCTTTCTTCCTGCCCCCCCTACTTCCTCCCTTCCTTTTTTTTTTTTTTTAGACAGAGTCTCACTCTTGTCGCCCAGGCTGGAGTGCAATGGCGTGATCTCAGCTCATTGCAAACTCCGCCTCCTGGGCTCAAGCAATTCTCCTGCCTCAGGCTCCCAAGTAGCTGGGATTACAGGCATCCACCACCATGCCCAGCTAATTTTTGTATTTTTAGTAAAGACAGGGTTTCACCATGTTGGTCAGGCTGATCTCGAACTCCTGACCTCAGGTAATCTGCCCGCCTTGGCCTCCCAAAGTGCTGGGATTACAGAGGCATGAGCCACTGTGCCTGGCCCCCTTTCTTCTTTTTTTAAGACAAGGTCTTACTGTGTTACCCAGGCTGGAGTGCAGTGGCACGATCATAGCTCACTGCAAGCCTTAACACCTGGGCTCAAGTGATCCTTCTGGCTCAGCCTCTTGAGTAGCTGGGACTACAGGTGTGCACCACTACACTCAGCTATTTTTTTATTTTTAGCAGAGACAGGGGCTCGCTATGCTGCCCAGGCTGGTCTCAAATTTCTGAGCTCAAGTTATCCTTCCATCTTGGCCTCCCAAAGTGCTGGGATTACAGGTGTGAGCTGCTGTGCCCGGCCTGTGTTTTTTTTCTTTCTTTATGCAAGAGAGAATTTCTTATTGGAGAAAATGTAAACAGTTTTACAACTTTCCTTTTTCTAAAAATTGCCAGAAAGACACGACCTTGTGGATTATACTGACTGGCTCCAGCCACATCATCTGAATCAGAGTAATTGCTTTCATCTGTGTCATAGACAGACTACACTGTGTTCACCTCCTCTGCCAGTTGTTTCTGATGCTGTAACCTCCAGTTTTTGAGTAAAACACTTTTGTTACAGCAAGAAGGAACACATTTGCTGAAAACTTTCCAAATTTTTTCGTTACTGCTGCACCATCACTAGCTGTTGATATCGATGGAATTCCTGACCAGTAACATTTCCATGAAGATCATTACAATTTATTTCTTGAAATTCTGGGAAGGCATGGAAACATCACATTGCAGCAGATGCTGGGGATGCAGCAATGAACAAGACAGGCCAGATCCCTACTCTCAGATAAACACAATGATCCAGGTATTTCCAATAATGAAATGACACTGAAGAAATAAGGTGATGTGTCTGGGGATGGCTGTGATATTTTTAGTTAGTATTGAGGTTTAGCGGCATGTAACAGTCAAGCTGCAAATAACAGTGTATTAAATTAGATAGAAACTTGTTTTTTTTTTCACGTCAAAGTTATCTAGAGGCTGGTATTGCACACTCCACCCCCATCCCACAGTGCCATTAGCCAGGCCCCTACCTGCTCTTCCTCCCATCCTCACTGCCATCTCAGCATCCAAGGTGTTTTCAGGAGCTCCAGTGATCACGTCTGCATTCCAGATAGCAGGAGAGGGGAAAATAGGAAGAAGAGCTGTTTGCTTCCCCCTTTTTTCTCTCCACTTTTTTTTTTTTGAGATGAGTTCTCACTCTGTTGCCCAGGCTGGAGTGCAGTGAGGCAATCATAGCTCACTCACTGTATCCTTGAACTCCTGGGCTCAAGCCATCCTCCAACCTCGGCCTCCCGAGTAGCTGGGACTACAGGCATGAACCACTACACTTGGCTAATAAGAAAAAAAAAACGAAAAACGAAAACAGGCTGGGCGCGGTGGCTCACGCTTATAATCCCAGCACTTTGGGAGACCAAGGCGGGTGGATCACGAGGTCAGGAGATCGAGACCATCCTGGCTAACATGGTGAAACCCCGTCTCTACTAAAAATACAAAAAAAATTAGCTGGGCATGGTGGTGCACACCTATAATCCCAGCAACTCAGGAGGCTCAGGCAGGGGAATGGCGTGAACCCGGGAGGTGGGGCTTGCAGTGAGCTGAGATCGTGCCACTGCACTCCAGCCTGGGCGACAGAACGAGACTTCATCTCAAAAAAAAAAAAAGAAAAAATTTATATTTTGTAAAGATGGTGTCTTACTATGTTGCCCAGGCTGGTCTCAAACTCCTGGCCTCAAGTGATCCTCCCAGCTCAGCCTCCCAAAGTGCTGGGATTCTAGTCATGAGGCACCTCCTCTGGCCTGTCTGCTTCCCTTTAAGGAAGCTTCTAGGAAGTCCCACTGAACATATCCGTTTACATCCCATTAGCCAGAAACATGGCCACATCCTGCTGCTAGTGAGGCTGAGAAATATGACTGATATACTGGGCAGGAAAGTTTCCAGCTAGGCCGCGCGCAGTGGCTCACACCTGTAATCCCAGCACTTTAGAAGGCCAAGGCAGGTGGATCACCTGAGACCACGAGTTCGAGATCACCCTGGCCAACATGGTGAAGCCCCGTTTCTACAAAAAATACAAAAATTAGCTGGGTATGGTGGCGCATGCCTGTAATCCCAGCTACTCGGGAGGTTGATGCATGAAAATTGCTTGAACCCGGAAGGCGTAGGTTGCAGTGAGCTGAGATCATGCCACTGCACTCCAGCCTGGGCGACAGAGAGAGACTCTGTCTCCATCAAACAAACAAACAAACAAACAAACAAACAAAACCCAAAACATTTCCAGCCAAAGATCAGGGTTCTGTTTTGCATGTTGGGAAGGGCAGACAGGAATGAGTGGTCAAAGAGGTCTTTTCCTAGGAAGCAACAATTTGGAACTTGAATGATAAGAAGCCTCCAGTTAGATGATGGAAGCAGAATGTTTCAGGCAAGGGAAACAGCAAATGGAAAATGGCAATTTCATGGAAACAAGAAAGTCTGAAACATAATGAGAAGGAAAGGAGATTAGTCTGGGATAATAGATAATGGCTAGACCACACAGGCCTTTACCTGTCAGAGAATTGCTTTCATTTTTTAAAAAACTGAAAATTTTTAATTGCATTGGGATTTTTTTCTTTTTTTTGACTGAGTCTCACTCTATCACCCAGGGTGGAGTGCAGTGGCATGATCTCAGCTCACTGCAACTTCTGCCTCTTGGGTTCAAGTGATTCTCATGCCTCAGCCTCCTGCATAGTTGGGATTACAGGCGTGTGCCACCATGCCTGGCTAATTTTTGTAGTTGTAGTATAGATGAGGTTTCATCATAATGGCCAGGCTGGTCTCAAACTCCTGACCTCAGGTGATCTACCCACCTTGGCCTCCCAAAGTGCTGGGATTACAGGTATGAGCCACTGTACCCAGCCTGCAGTGGGAATTAATTTTAAAGGAAGGAAGTGACATGACTTAGAGTCTCGCTAGTGCTGATATATAGTAGATGTTAAAGAAATCTATCCTTAAGTACGCTGGAAATATCTTGGTTTTTAATCCTGATTACATCCCTAATCATTTAATGGGATGTGGGAAATTATTGATTGTTTTGCCTTATGTCTATAGGCAACATATAAAATTATATTTGTTCATCAGCTGCCTGAATAAAACCAATAATCCATGAGGTAGATCCACAGTAGCATGCTTTCCGTAGAGGATGTGGGGTACAGCAGATATGAGGCACTTGTGTGTTTGTGTGGAGGGGAGTACTAATAAATAAGAAAACGTCACATGTGTATGTATCTGTGCTTGAGGCAGCTCTTTGAGGATGTGTGCAAATCAAGAAAAGGGCTTTTATTTTGATTCCTTTAATCGTGCCTTATTAACTTTTTTTCTTTTTTCTTTATTAAGGTCAGTAGGCATTTGGTAGGAATCTGCATCAAACTGTTGGGCAATGGTAGACAGCAACATTGACGTCTGTAAATTTACACTTGGATTCTTAGTTTCTGGTGAGTAGTTTGTGCTCCTTCAACACTCAGTGAGAGATGATGATAAGCAAACCTTCAGCCTTCAGCTTTCCTGATGCAGTAGGAATTGCCACAAATGCCTGGCTGTGGTCGCCCTCTACTGGACGAATTAAGCCTAACGTTTAAAAGCCACCAGACCACTGTTCCCTTTATAATATCCTCTTCTGCCAAAGCCTACTCACCCTTTAGGTCTGAGAGAGGCCTCTCAGCATCCCCCCTTTCTCTCACCATCTCTGATATGTGTGTTCGTATGACTATTTGATTGACGTCTGTCTCCTCCCTTTCTGCATAGGCTGTAGTCTGCATGAGGGCAGGGACTCTGTTTGCCTCCGAGTGCCTGACACCATTCTTCAATAAATATGTGTTAAATGGATGAATAAAGGAGGAATGAAGGGCCCAAATGTCAAGAGTGAGCCTTTCACACTTCACTCTAGCTGACTGCAGCACGTAGGAGAAAATATAAATTCAAGGCATCTATCCTGCAAATTTTTTTCAAGCAACTTACGCTACTCTTAAAAACCCTGTTTATTAAAGTATTACATATATACAGAAAAGTGCACACATTGTAAGTGTCTAGTTCAATGAATTTTCAAAAACTGGTCACACCCCTGTAACCAGTACACAGATCAAGAAACAGAATGTCACCAGAAACCCAGAAACCCACCCGTGCCCTTGTGATTTTAACAGTATAGAGTTCTTTTGCATGTTTTTATATTTTATAAAAATGAAATCATACAATATGTACTTTTTTGCATCTGGCTTCTTTTCTTCTTTTTTTATTTTTTGTTTTTTTGTTTGTTTGTTTTGTTGTTTTTTTTTTTTTGAGACAGAGTCTCATTCTTGTCGCTGGAGTACAGTGGCATGATCTTGCTCACTGCACCCCCTGGGTTCAAGTGATTCTCATGCCTCAGCCTTCTGAATAGCTGGGACCACAGGCATGCATCACCACACCTGGCTAATTTTTGCATTTTTCTGTAGAGATGGGATTTCGCCATGTTTCCCAGGCTGGTCTTGAACTCATGAGCTCAAGTAATCGGCCTGCCTCAGCCTCCCAAAGTGCTGGGATTACAGGTGGGAGACACCACACCCAGCCTTGAAAACACATTTCAATATTTTGGTAAAGATGAGCAGAAAAGGGCCAGGAGCGGTGGCTCACACCTATAATCCCAGCACTTTGGGAGGCCAAGGTGGGCAGATCACGAGGTCAAGAGTTCAAGACCAGCCTGGTCAACATGGTGAAACCCCGTCTCTACTAAGAATACAAACATTAGCCAGGCATGGTAGTGTGTGCCTGTAATCCCAGCTGCTAGGGAGGCTGAGGCAGGAGAATCACTCGAACCCAGGAGGCGGAGGTTGCAGTGAGCTGAGATCGCGCCACTGCACTCAAGCCTGGGCAACAGAGCAAGACTCCGTCTCGAAAAAAAAAAGAAAAAAAGGTGAGCAGAAAAAGTTAATAGTGATTTTCCTTGGTAAAGCCTTAAGGTTTATACCAAAATCATAATCATAGAGCAGATGGCTGGAATAATACAAGATAAAGTTCACTCAACTTTAACAGTGCCTTCCCAGTATGGAAGGAATACAGAAGCTTCTTTCTCATGGGGAGGTGGTTGTGTTGAGGTGGCAAGGGCACTAAACTTATGATCAGAAGAACTAGGACTGAGTTTTGTTGTTGTTGTTGTTCAGGTTGGATGGGTAATGTGCCAGCGCTGTAACAAGGTTCAGAGGGAGGCACATATCACACTTAGGCACAAACACCAAATCATTCTCCTGAACTACAAAAGGAGTGAGTTTTACTTGGCCAGTTACCATTTCTGAGCTTCGGGTAGGTCATTCACTCTCTGAGTTTCATCTGTTAAAATGGACACGCCAATATCTGTCCCATAGAATTGTGTAGGGGAGGAAAAAAATATTTTTTCCTCTACTCTTTCTGATTCTTAGCACAAAAGATAGATTAACAAACTTATTTAAGTTTTACATGACATGGGAAGCTTCATAAGGAAATGAAGACCCAAAGAAGCAGTTAAATGTGAGCGTTGTTTATTGTAGGTTTAGTGAAGAGTGGACCACTGTGGAGAAATGTGGTAGGGCAAAAAGGGTATGATCTAATGGTAAGAAACGGGGAAACGCAGCAAGGCCTGTTTGTTCACTTTAAAATTTTTTTTTTTTTAGAGAGAGGGTCTTGCTATGTTGTTCAGGCTGGTCTCAAGCTCCTGGGCTCAAGCCATCCCTCTGCCTCAACCTCCCAAATTGCTGGGATTACAGGCATGGGCAACTGCACCTGGCCCTCTGTTTTCTTTAAGACCAAGAAGTAAGACCTAGAGTGTTGAAAAACGGATAGTACTGATAGGGTAAGTGGTTACATAAAACTACATTACATAAATTACATGAATATTTCCTGGAAGCTCTGAGCCTGTCAACTGCCCAGCGTGATTCCTCACCCTGCCCCGTTCTGCACTGTGGGAACCTTTAGTCTGCAGGCTTCCTTGCTCCGTGAGTTTTGTATATTCTGCTGGGGACAGGCATGAGTGGATGGGTATTTCTCCCGCCTCTCTGTGCTTCCTGTGATGTCTTCCACAGCAGCAGAGTCTCTTTCAAGGCTCTAACTCCCTCTGAAAGGCCCTCCCTCCATGGTCCAGACCCCTGCAAGGGAGCCTCTATAATGGTTCTATTTCCAGCCAGACAATTCTAGCTTTTAGGCTGAGAATAGCATCTCTTCCTACTGTCCCTCCAGCCCACGGATGTTAGCTGATTCTTGCTGTCGCTAATCTCCGGGTTACGTCACCACCCCGTTTGGCATCTCAGCTCTTCTATCACTTTTATAATCTATTTCCTGAATTAAATTCCCCTGGATTGAAAGAGTGGCTTCTATTGTCCTGACTTGATACACTCTGATTTCATTCCTCTTCCACAAAAATGCTCAGTTCCTCACATTTATAGGAATATTTTTCTCCTTCACAAATTTTCCTCTTCTTCTCTCTACTGTGGAGGAACTAGCGTGGATTTGGAATCAGGCTGGGTTCAGACTTGGGTTCTGTTATTTCAGAACCATATGACTTGGGGTAAATTGCTAGCTTATAATAAGTGCTGAATAATTGTTTGTTAATGAATGAATGATATTTAACCATTACAATGCCTTCTGAAGATTTAAAAATTTTTTTATTTAAAAATTTATTTTGAAAGGGCAGGGTCTTGCTATGTTGCCTAGGCTGGAGTGTAGTGGCTACTCACAGACACAATTATAGTGTGCTATAGTCTTGAACTCCTGAGCTCAAGAGATCCTCCCACCTCTGCATCCTGAGAAGCTGGGACCAGAGGTCCATGCTGCTGTGCCCAGCAAACATTTTTGAGTGGTATAAATACAAAGCATTAGTAGTATACAGTTGTTCTAGAAGGACTCATTTTTAAATATTTTCTAAAATTATGTATATAAAGAATTTGGTGTAATCCCAGCACTTTGGGAGGCCAAGGCGGGTGGATCACGAGGTCAGGAAATCGAGACCATCCTGGCTAACACGATGAAACCCCGTCTCTACTAAAAATACAAAAAATTAGCCGGGCATGGTGGCGGGCGCCTGTCCCAGCTACTCGGGAGGCTGAGGCAGGAGAATGGCGTGAACCCGGGAGGCGGAGCTTGCAGTGAGCCGAGATTGCGTCACTGCACTCCAGCCTGGGCGACAGAGCGAGACTCCATCTTAAAAAAAAAAAAAAAGGAAGAATTTGGTCTTCAGGAAGACCATACTCAGGAATATGTGGTATTTGTTCAGCATTAGCTTCATCGCATAACAAGCCATGAGGGTTTTTCTCTTTTGCCTTTATAACTCTATAGACTCACATAACTATTAAAATACTATCACCTTGCATTATAATTATCTCATTTACGGTTATTACTGTTCTGCCTTCCTCCCTCTAGACTATAAATCTCACGTAGTACTTGGCACATAGAAAGCTCTCAAGAAACACTTGTTGAGTGAAGAAATATGCTATTTGATGTCTTATGTGCCTGTGTCCTTAAGCCATAGCATGCATGGAGGCCCTGAGCCATAGTAGAATTTGAATAAATGTTTGTTGTGTTATGAATCCAATATTTAAACGAGTCCAAAGGATTTAGCACTAGTTTCAATGATGAAATCAGTCAAGTCAACTTTTATTTTTAAACTGGATGTCAATTACTAATCACTTGCTAATCACTAGTTTCTAAACTAGGAAAGAGAGATGCTTTGGTCCAGAGGTTGTTTGAGTGAAGTAAGCATTTAGGTACTTGTACACTCAGTACTTCTAGACTTCCATCAAAAATTCTTCCCCGCTAAAACATTGCACTTTAGGGGTGTTTGAGTCATCCTTGTGTGGCTGAGAAAAAAAGTCCTAAAAAGTGACAAGCTAGAATGGAGGAGGGATGTCACTCTTTCCAAGATCTAACAGAACAAAGAACAGCATGATTATGGGGGGCTCAACTGCTTTGTTTGCCCGTGGTTTGAGTTTGGCCAAGGGTGAATACCATTAAGGGATCTGAGAGTGGGAGAAGAGTGAGGCCAGGATATTTATTCACCTGTTTCCCTATTGCTGTGTCTCCACAGGTTGGCTGCATCCTTCTTCTGAAGGCCACTGCTCTTTTCAGAAGACCTCCCTAGATGGCTAAGCTCTCTGGGTTGCAACAGTTGCTCTTTTTCCTTGAGCCTTAGGTTAGGGAGTTGGGAGGAAGTAATGGCTTCCCCCACTGCTAGCTCCAGGGTGCTACACTTTCTCTTTTCTAGTTTCCCTAATCTGGCTTACACCATTATAAATAGACCCTTTATTAAAATATCCTCAATTTATCCATATTGAGTGTGCCATCTGCTTCTTTTTCGGATGCTGATGCTTCAAAGTGATATGGGAAAGTATCCCAGGCATTTTTGTCTCATTCATCACACCTAGAAAGATAATTTAGGATTTGATGATGAAATAGCATGGTAGAAAATATAGCATACAAAGTTTTTCCTTGGAAGACAATCACTGGACATTCTCAAGAATGGCAAGAGAAGGCATAATAAAAATAGCTGCCAGATGGGGGACAGGACTGACTTGCAGCTCTCATGCTGACTTGCAGCATGAGGAGACTCACATTGTGAACTTTTGCTCCAAGAACTACTGCAAGAACATACCAGGAAAACCAAAAGAATTCACAGACCCTTTGAAAGAAGAGTTTGCCGCTGCAAACTCCAAGACACAGCTGAAAAACCGTGAGTGCCCAGAGTGTGAGAGGGGGAAAGTCTCTTTCCAAACACACATCCTCACTGGGGAGCCTGAAAATCCATATCATGGGAGAAGGATTTAACCTTACCTAGAGCTGAGGCGAATTTAGAGAGCTGAGCAAAATATAAAAGTAGAAGCAGCAGCAGGAAGAGCCCTGTAGGCACTCCCGGTCCCCAGGGAAGCTCAGAGAACCCATTTCTGACTTTATCTCACAGGGGCCCTTGTGGGGAGCGGGCTGCCAGTGGAATTAGGGAAAGCCCACAGGGAGAAGGAAACTTCCAGCTGAACTTTATAATGATTTCAAGCATGAATTTTCCAGAGCAGAATCTGGGGTCGGGGGCAAACAGGAAGTCCAGATAGGAGCACAGAAGCCGCAGCGAGGAGGGGAAGGCCTGAAAGCCCTGCTTGCTTTATTAGGCGCGAGGCTTGTATGGTGGCGGTGGAGGGAGTTCCCAGTCCTGCTCACTGGCAAATAAACTCACCTAGATATAAACTCGGTGCTGTCGAGGAGCACTGGGAGAGTGAGACTGGCCTTTCAGTCTGCGTGGGAGCTGGGTGAGGCCCGTCACTGCCAGTTTTCCGCAACTTCCCTGGCGACCTGTATGACAGCAGAGGCAGCCATAGTCCTACTGGGAACCTACTCCAATGGCCTGAGAACCACACCCCCCCCCCCAAGGTGGCTGCGGCAAGCCCCGCCCAAGGAGAGTCTGAGCTCAGACCCACCTGACTCTACCCCCACCAGATAGATGGTCTTTCTCCACCTGCCCTGGTAGCCAAAAACAAAAGACGTACAACTCATGGAAGTTCTAGGGCCCCGCCCATCACCTGAGAAACCTGAAGGCTCATCCAGGAGACCCTAGGGCAAGCTTGCGTCCCCCCATACTACCGCAGCTGAAGTTGTCTGAAGTTGTCTTGAAAGCGCCACCTCCTAGCTGGAGGCCAACCAACACAAACTGTTACAGCAACTCATCAAAGAATAACCCTGCCCCAAGAAAGGAGAAAACAATGGTTAACTCCACTGCCTGTAACATCCTGGCTAACCAGAGGTCCTAAGTCTGTCCACATGATAGCTTTACTGTCAGTACAACCAGCATTTGAGAAAACCGGCACGCTAAACAAAACTACAACCAAGTACTCTTACAGAGTCCGCTTCACTCCTCTGCTACCTCCACTGGAGCAGGTGCTGGTATCCACAGCTGAGAGATCTGAAGATGGAGCACATCACAGGACTCTTTGCAGACCCTCCTCAGTACCAGCCCAGAGCCCAGTAGCTCCACTGGGTGGCTAGACCCAGAAGAGAAATAACAATCACTGCAGTCTGGTTCTCAGGAAGTCCTATCTCAAGGGGAAAGGGGAGAGCCCCACAGCAAGGGAGCACCCTATGGGACAAAAGAATCTGAACAGCAGCCCTTGAGCCCCAGATCTTCCCTCTGACATAGTCTACCCAAATGAGAAGGAACCAGAAAAACAATTCTGGTAATATGATAAAACAAGGCACTTTAACACCCCCAAAAGATCACACTAGCTCACCAGCAATGGATCCTGTGAAAGGAAAATATCTTGGGCCCCAAAATCACTAGGAAAAACTAGCTGGAAATTGCTTAGGGCAAATCTGCCTTCCATTCTATTCAAAGTTATCCCTCTGCTCATTGAGATAGATGCATATCTGATTGCCTTCTTTGGAAAGGCTAATCAGAAACTCAAAAGAATGCACTGTTTGTGTTTCACCTAACTGTGACCTGGAAGATCCCTCCCTGCTTTGAATCTTCCTGTCTTTGCTTCAAGTTGTCCCGCCTTTCCAGATAGAACCAATGTACTTCTTACATATATTGATTGTTGTCTTCTGTCTCCCTAAAATGGATAAAACCAAGCTGTGCCCCCGACCACCTTGGGCATGTCATCAGAACTCCCTGAGGCAGTGTCATGGTCCGTCCTCAACCTTGGCAAAATAAACTTTCTAAATTAACTGAGAGCTGTCTCAGGTTTTCTAGGTTCACAATCCAAACCAAGAAGAAATCTCTAAATGGCCAGCAAAAAAATTCAGAAGGTCGATTATTAAGCTACTCAGGGAGGCACCAGAGAAAGGTAAATACCAACTTAAAGACATTTTAAAAATGTTACAGGGTATGGAAGGAAAAATCTCCAGAGAAATAGATAGCATAAATAAGAAACAATCACAACTCCTGGAGATGAAGGACACACTTAGAGAATTGCAAAATACACTGGAAAGTCTCAACAATAGAATAGAACAAGTAGAAGAAAGAACTTAAGAGCTTGAAGACAAGGCTTTCGAATTAGCCCAATCTGAGAAAGACAAAGAAAAACAAATTAAAAAAATGAACGAAGTCTCCAAGAAGTTTGGGATTATGTTAAATGACCAAAACTAAGAATAACTGGCGTTCCTGAGGAAGAAGAGAAATCTAAAAGTCTGGAAAACATTTGAGAGAATAATTGAGGAAAACTTTTCCAGGCTTGCTAGAGATCTAGCCATCCAAATACAAGAAGCTCAAAGAACATCTGGGAAATTCATCGCAAAAAGATCATCCCCTAGGCACATAGTTATCACGTTATCTAAAATCAAGATGAAGGAAAGAAGCTTAAGAGCCATAAGGCAAAAGCTTCAGGTAATGTATAAAAGAATATCTATCAGATTAATAGCAGATTTCTCAGCAGACACCTTGCAACCTAGAAAGGATTGGGGTCCTATCTTTAGCCTCCTTAAAC
This sequence comes from Homo sapiens, assembly GCF_000001405.40. Classification (NCBI taxonomy): domain Eukaryota; kingdom Metazoa; phylum Chordata; class Mammalia; order Primates; family Hominidae; genus Homo; species Homo sapiens. The sequence goes on from NW_018654710.1 coordinate 72,487, forward strand.
AAAACAATTATCAGCCAAGAAATTTGTATCCAGCAAAACTAAGCTTCATAAATAAAGAAAAGATACAGTCTTTTTCAGGCAAACAAATGCTGAGAGAATTTGCACTACCAAGCCAGCACTACAAGCACCGCTAAAAGGAGTGCTAAATCTTGAAGCAAAGCCTCAAAATACACCAAAATAGGCCGAGCATGGTGGCTCAAGCCTGTAATCCCAGCAGTTTGGGAGACCAAGGTGGGCAGATCACGAGTTCAGGAGATCAAGACCATCCTGGCTAACACAGTGAAACCCTGTCTCTACTAAAACCACAAAAAATTAGCCAGGTGTGGTGGCACACACCTGTAGTCCCAGATACTCTGGAGGCTGAGTCATGAGAATTGCTTGAACCTGGGAGGCAGAAGTTGCAGTGAGCCGAGAGTGCACCACTGCATTCCAGCCTGGGTGACACAGCGAGTCCCCATAACAAAATAAAAAAAGAAAAAAGAAATACACCGAAATAGAACCTTCTTAGAGCATAAATCTCACAGGACCTATAAAACAATAAAATAATTTTAAAAAAACATAAGGTATTCAGGCAACAACTTGCACGATGAAGAGAATGACACCTCACATCTCAATACTAATGCCAAATGTAAATGGCCTAAATACTCCACTTAAAAGCTACAGAATGGCAGAATGAATAAGAATTCACCAACTAAACATCTGCTGGCTTCCAGAGACTCACCTAACACGTAAGGACTCAGATAAACTTACGGTAAAGGGGTGGAAAAAGATATTCCATGGAAATGGACACCAAAAGCAAGCAGGAGTAGCTATTCTTAGACAAAACAGACTTTAAAGCAACACAGTTAAAAAAGAAAGAGGGACATTATATAATGATAAAAAGTCTAGTCCAACAGGAAAATATTACACTCATATATATATATATGAGTTTATATGTGATATATGAGTTTCTATGTGATATATATATATATGAGTTTATATATATATGCACCTAACACGGGAGCTCCCAAATTTATAAAACAGTTACTACTAGACCTAAGAAATGAAACAGATAGCAACATAATAATAGTGGGAGACTTCAATACTCCACTGACAGCACTAGACATGTCATCAAGTTAGAAAGAATCTGAACAGCAGCCCTTGAGCCCTTGTTTCCAACAAGGAAACAATGGACTTAAACTATACCCTAGAAGAAATGGACTTAATGGATATTTATAGAACATTCTACCCAACAATTGCAGAATATACATTCTATTCATCAGCACATGGAACATTCTCCAAGATAGACTATATGATAGGCCACAAAAGTCTCAATAAATTTAAGAAAATTGAAATTATATCAAGTACTCTCTCAGATCACAGTGGAATAAAATTGGAAATTCACTCCAAAAGGAATCCTCAAAACCATGCAAATACATGGAAATTAAATAACCTACTCTTGAATGATCTTTGGCTCAACAATGAAATCAAGAAGGAAATTAAAAAATTCTTTGAACTGAATGATAATAGTGACACAACCTATGAAAGCCTCTGGGGTACAGCAAAAGTGGTACTAAGAGGAAAGTTCATAGAATTAAATGCCTAAATCAAAAAGTCTGAAAGAGCACAAATAGACAATCTAAGGTCACACCTCAAAGAACTAGAGAAACAAGAACAAACCAAACCCAAACTCAGCAGAAGAAAACAAATAGCAAAGATCAGGCCAGCCATGGTGGCTCACACCTGTAATCCCAGCACTTTGGGAGGCCAAAGTGGGTGGATCACTTGAGATCAGTAGTTCAAGACCAGCCTGGCCAAAATGGTGAAACCCTGTCTCTACTAAAAATACAAAAAAAATTAGCTGGGTGTGGTGGTGCATACCTATAATCCCAGCTACTGGGGAGGCTGAGGCACAAGAATCACTTGAACTTGGGAGGTGGAGGTTGCAGTGAGCCAAGGTCATGCCATTGCACTCCAGCCTGGACAACAGAGTGAGACCCCATCTCAAGCCCCTTCCCCACACAAAAAAGAGATAACAAACATAAGAGCAGAACTAAATGAAATTAAAACAAATAAACAAACAAATACAAAAGATAAATGAAACAAAAAACTGATTATTTGAAAAGATAAACAACATTGATAGACCATTAGCAAGATTAACCAAGAAAAGATCCAAATAAGCTCAATTAGAAATAAAATGAGAGATATTACAATTGATACCACAAAAATATAAAAGCTCATTCAAGACTACTATGAACACCTTTACACTCACAAACTAGAGAACCTAGAGAAGATGGATAAATTCCTGGAAATATACAACACTCCTAGATTAAACCAGGAAGAAATAGAAACCCTGAACTGACCAATAACAAGCAGTGAGATTAAAATGGTAATTTAAAAATTGCCAACAGAAAAATGTTCAGGACCAAAAGGATTCACAGCTGACTTCTATCAGACATTCAAAGAAGAATTGGTACCAATCCTGTTGACACTATTCCAAAAGATAGAGAAAGAGGGAATCCTCCCTAAATCATTCTATGAAGCCAGTATTACCCTAATACCAAAACCAGGAAATGACATAACAAGAAAAGAAAACTACAGCCAATATCCCTGATGAATGTAGTAGCAAAAATCCTCAACAAAAATACTAGCTAACTGAATGCAATAGCATATAAAAAAGATAATCCATCCTGATCAAGTGGGTTTCATACCAGGCGTGCAGGGATGGTTTAACATATGCAAGTCAATAAATGTGATACACTACATAAACAGAATTAAAAACAAAAATCACATGATCATGTCAATAAACACACAAAATTTGACAAAATCCAGTATCCCTTTATGATTAAAACCCTCAGCAAAATCAGCAGAGAAGGGACATACCTTAAGGTAATAAAAGCCATTTGTGACAAACCCACAGCCAACATTATACTGAATGGGGAAAAGTTGAAAGCATTTCTTATTTCTGTTCAACATAGTACTGGAAGTTCTAGTCAGAGCAATCAGACAAGGGAAAGAAATAAAGGGCATCCAAATCAGCAAAGAGGAAATCAAACTGTTGCTGTTTGCAGATGATATGATTGTATACCTGGAAAACCCTAAAGACTCAACCAGAAAGCTCCTAGACTTAATAAATAAATTCAGTAAAGTTTCAGGCTACAAAATCAATGTCACAAATTAGTAGCTCTGCTATACACCAACAGCGACCAAGCTGAGAATCAAATCAATAACTCAACCCCTTTTACAATACCTGCAAATTAAATAAACAAATAAAATACCTAGGAATATACCTAGCCAAGGAAGTGAAAGACCTCTGCAAGGAAAACCACAAAACATTGCAGAAAGAAATCATGGATGACACAAAAAATGGAAACATTCCAGTCTTATGGATGGGTAGAATCAATGTTGTGAAAATGACCATACTGCCAAAAGCTATCTACAAATTCAATGCACTTCCCATTAAAATACCATCATCATTCTTCATAGAACTAGAAAAAACAATCCTAAATTCATATGGAACCAAAAAAAGTGCCCACATAGCCAAAGCAAGACTGAGCAAAAAGAACAAATCTGGAGGCATCACATTACTCAACTTATACCCAAGGTTATAGTCACCAAAACAGCATGATACTGGCATAGAAATAGGTACAAACACCAATGGAGCAGAGAACCAGAAATAAAGCCAAATACAGCCAACTGAACTTTGACAAAGCAAACAAAAACATAAAGTGGGGAAAGGAAACCCTACTCAACAAATGGTGCTGGCAAGCCACATGTAGAAGAATGAAACTAGATCCTCATCCCTCACCTTATACAAAAATCAACTCAAGATGGAAAAAGACTTAAATCTAAGACCTGAAACCATAGAAATTCTAGAAGGTAACATCAGAAAAACCCTTCTAGACACTGGCTTAGGCAAAGACTTCGTGACCAAGAACCCAAAAGCAAATGCAACAAAAACAAACAGATGGGACTTAAACTAAAAAGCTTCTGCACAGCAAAAGAAATAATCAACAGAGTAAACAGATAACCCACAGAGTGGGAGAAAATCTTTGCAAGCTATGCATCTGACAAAGGACTAATATCCAGAATCTATAAGGAACTCAAACAAATCAGAAAGAAAAAAACAAACAATCCCATCAAAAAGTGAGCTAAGGACGTGAATAGACAATTCTGAAAAGAAGATATACAAATGGCCAACAAACATATGGAAAAATGCTCATCGTCACTAATTATCAGGGAAATGCAAATCAAAACCACAATGCGACACCACCATGCTCCTGCAAGAATGACCATAGTTAAAAAAATAAAAAAATAACAGATGTTGGCATGGATGTGGTGAAGAGGGAACATTTTTACACTGCTAGTGGGAATGTAAACTAGTACAACCACTATGGAAAACAGTTTGGAGATTCCTTAAAGAACTAAAGGTAGATCTACCATTTGATTCAGCAATCCTACTGCTGGGTATCTACCCAAAGAAAAAGAAGTCATTATACGAAAAAGACACTTGCACGCACATGTTTACAGCACCACGGTTTGTAATTGCAAAAATATGGAACCAGTCCAAATGCCCATCAATCAATGAGTGGATAAAGAAAATGGGATATATATATATATATATACACACACACACACACACACACACACACACACACACACACACACACACACACTGTGGAATACTACTCAGCCATAAAAAGGAATGAAATAATGGCATTTGGAGCGACCTGGATGGAATTGGAGATCATTATTCTAAGTGAAGTAACTCAGGAATGGAAAACCAAATGTTATATATTCTCATTTATAAGTGGGAGCTAAGCTATGAGGATGTAAAGGCATAAGAATGATACAATGGACTTTGAGGACTCAGGGGCAAGTGTGGGAGGGGGATGAGCGATAAAAGACAACACATTGGGTACAGTGTGCACTGCTTGGGTGATGGGTGCACGAAAATCTTAGAAATCACCACTAAAGAACTTATCCACGTAACTAAACATCACCTGTTCCCCCAAAACCTATTGAAATAATTAATAATAATAATAAAACAAAAACCCCAATTCTAAAAAAAACCTTGTAAAAAAATAAATTTTATATAAATGGAAAAAAATAGCTGCTACATTCACCTAGTGCTTGCCATGAGTCAGTGTTCCAAGCATTTACAAATATTAACTCCATTAATCGTTATGATAATCCTATGAGGTAAGTATTATTATTATCTTCATTCAACAGAAGAGGCAACTGAGGCACAATTTAAACAACTTGCTCAAGGTCACATAGTAAGTGGGAGATTCAAACCTAGGCAGGCTGAGTTTGTAACAAAATCTGTTCTCTCAAACTTTACACTATCATCATGGCCTTTGACATCCCCTCCCATGGTTCTACTCAACCTCAACCACTCCCCTCTCTCTGTGAAAATTTCAGAAGAGTATTCTCCACTTGCTGTCTTCATATCTCACTGGTACACTTGAAATCATTTTCTGCCTGCACTTTTGCAAAGAAACTGTTTTTGTTAAGGTTAATAAAGACCTCCTATCAACACAATTCATTTGGCATCTTTTAGATCCCAAATGTTGCTTCTCATATCTGTGACTTTGGACACCATTGACTACTCTCTCCTTCATGAAACTCTCTTCTCCTTTAGCTTCTGGTGATATTCTAGAAGTGTCCCAGATGTCATTCCTTTGCTTCGTCCTTTCTTTTTTCTTTTTTTCTTTTTTGCCTTGGTCTCAGCTACTGGCTCTTTCTGCTCCAAAATGTTGGTGTTCCTAAGGTTTCTTCCCCAAGCCCTTTTCTCTCTGCACACTGTAGGTTCCTTTTGAGTCATCTTATCAACCATTGGGGCTCCAGTTGCCATTAATACAAACCTGACTAAAAGGAAAGAAAAAGAATTGAGGAAGTCTAGAAACAGTTTGACTGACCGAGTTTAACATCCTGATCCTGTCTGAATCATCCTTGTGAGGAAATACTGGTGAATCTGGCCAATTTGGTGGAAAGGTGTTGGTCCAAATTGTCCATGGTATTTACCCAACAGGGTAGGAAGAAAATGGACAGCCAATAGAGAACAGAATTGTGTCTGAGGAGGATTGCCAAGGGTCAAACTGAAGAAGCCACTAGATTGAGTGGCTAGTGCAGTTGGAAATAGGAAACTATCCTGAAATGTAATCATCATCTAACTCAAGTCCCTGCCTTCAGGGCTTCCTTGCACCAACACACCTTTCACAAAGCTGCCAGACTTAGGTTTCTACAACTTACCTTCGTAATAGTATTACTCCTCTGCTATTATGTGGTAGTTCCTTATTGTCTGCAGAATAGAGACACTCATGAGGCTTTTCATGAGCTGGTCCCAGCTTGTCTGTTTAGCTTCATGTTTTCCTGATCCCTGTCTTATACCCTGTGTTCCATTGATGCCATGCTTCCTGATGATCCCTGAGCACATCCAGATGATGTACACGCGTTCCTCTGTGAGGACCTCCAAGACCTCCTCATTTCCTCATTCATTCATCAGGACATAGTTCTTGAACACCTGCTGTGGGCCCAGTTCTGAGCTCAGTGCAGATAGCTATGCTGCAAGACAAAAGCATACACAGTCTCCGCTCTATTGGAGACAGATAGTGATCAAAGAGCTTCAGGAAAGGCACCACATTTCACTTATGGTAAGTTTTATGAAGGCAAAATACATGGTGCTGTAACAGAGTGAAATGGGGGAAATGGCCTAGTTAGAAAAAGTGGAGAGCCAAAGAAAGAGTTAGGAGTTAGCTAAGGGCACAGAGAGCATGTGCAAAGGCCCTGAATAGAAGGAAATTGGCAGGTATGCTGAGAAGGACAAAGAGGGTATGGTAGAGAGAAAGGGTGACAAGTGAGGAGGTAGGGACCTTCTAAAAAGGGAGGTTGGATGGTCCCCTGAGAACCACAGGGAGCCATAAATGCTTGTAAGCAGGGGTTGGGGTGGTATCAACATGATCAGGTTTGCTTTTAAAAAGGTTAGTCTGGCTGCATGTGGAGAATGGATTTAAGGGGAGAAGACTGGAGGTAGGAAAACCAAGAAGGAAGCTGTGGCAATTGTCCCTGTGAGTAATGACAGCCTGAATCCTGCTCTGAGCATCACCATATCTCGCCTGGGCTATTGTAACAGCCTCCTAACCACTGTTGCTCTTGGCCCCTCCTCTAGTGAGTTTAAAGTTCTGTGAAAAGTCTGGACTGGAGAGTTACAGACGAACCTGAAACCTAGGGGACTCTGGGATGTCATTGCACTTTTACTTATTTCTTTTGGAACACTTGTTATATTGCTCTAAATTGACTGATTTACATGCCTGTTTTTCCCAGGCCTCTGCCATCACTTAGACACATGTCTTATTCATCCTGGTCTTCTCAGAGCAAAGCAAAGTCTCTGACATGGTATATGCTCAACGAATGAAAGAATGAGGATCATATTAATAAAAATTATTATGGCCGGGCATAGTGGCACACTCCTGTAATCCCAGCACTTTGGGAAGCCAAGGTGGGTGAATCACCTGAGGTCAGAAGTTTGAGACCAGCCTGGCCAACATGGTGAAACCCCGTCTCTCCTAAAAATACAAAAATTAGCCAGGCGTGATGGCGCGCACCTGTATTCCCAGTTACTCAGGAGGCTGAGGCAGGAGAATTGCTAGAACCCCAGAGGCAGAGGTTGCAGTGAGCTGAGATGGCGCCACTGCATTCCAGCCTGGGTGACACAGTGAGACTCCGTCTAAAAAGAAAAAAATATTATGACTGTTGTACCACAGAATGCAACCATGAATCTGTAATAACTCTAAAATTAATATTTAACACTGTTAGAGGTTCTAGATAATTTTAAAAAGTAGGGACAAGTTCAGATATTCAAAGAACTCCATGTATTAGCAAAAATAAAATAAGCAATAAAAACAGATGGGAACATTAATTTTGTTGTTATGAAGGAATATTGGTCTTTTCTATACTAATATTTATATTAACTTCAAGAACACAAGAACATTACAAATAGAATGCAGTAGCCAAGACATAAAGAAAAAGATTAAAACTAGAAATAGAATTAGCAAAGAATATTTGCCTTGTTCACAATGGTGGATACTGCATTTAAAAAGTTTGTTAGTCTGGGTGTGGTGGCTCATGCCTGTAATCCCAGCACTTTGGGAGGCTGAGGTGGGAGGATCACCTAAAGTCAGGAGTTTGAGACCAGCCTGGCCAACATGGTGAAATCCCGTCTCTACTAAAAATACCAAAAATAAGCTGGGTGTAGTGGTGGGCACCTGTAATTGCAGGTATTCAGGAGGCTGAGACAGAAGAATCACTTGAACCCAGGAGGTGGAGGTTGCAGTGTGCGGAGATCATGCCATTGCACTCCAGCCTGGGCAACAAGAGGGAAACACTGTCTCAAAAAAAACAAAAAACAAAAAAACTTTGTTCAGAAGGTAAATTTCCCCCATGGTTTCCAGCTCTGACTGCACATTAGAATCAGCTGAGGGACTCTACAAAGACCGGGAAGCCTGTGCCCTACCTCTGACTAAGTCCTACTTCTGAGTGAGGCCAAACTTTGGGATTTTTTTGAAAAGCTGCCCACACGGTTCAGGTGTGCATGCAGACTGAGAAGCACTGCTTTGCTAGAGTGTCCTGGAGGGACGGGCTGATGAGCGATAGGATGCAACATTGATGTCCCTGCAGAGAGAGCCAACAGAGGAAATAGGGGAAGAGGAAGAATGCTCCTAATCAAGTTGTAGAGAACTTACCAGACACCAAAGTCTGACGTATATCAATTAAAGAATTTGGAAACTCAACGTGGAAAAAATGGCAGCCAGAAATAACATACAGATTTCCTCTGGGCGCGGTGGCTTACGCCTGTAATCCCAGCACTTTGGGAGGCCAAGGTGGGTGGATCACCTGAGGTCAGGAGTTCAAGACCAGCCCCTCTACTAAAAATAGCATCTCTACTAAAAATTAGCAAGTATGAAAATTAGACGGGTGTGGTGGCAGGTGCCTGTAGTCCCAGCTACTTGGGAGGCTCAGGCAGAGTGGCGTGAACCCGGGAGGCGGAGCTTGCAGTGAGCTGAGATTGCGCCACTGCACTCCAGGCTGGGTGACAGAGTGAGACTCTGTCTCAAAAAAAAAACCAAAAAAACAAAAAAATTAGCAAATGTGGTGGCACACACCTGCAATCCCAGCTACTGGGGAGGCTGGGGCACGAGAATCGCTTGAACCTGGAAGGCAGAGGTTACAGTGAGCTGAGATTGCGCTACTGCACTCCAGCCTGGGCAATAAAGTGAGACTTTGTCTCAAAAAAAAAAAAAAATACAGATTTCTTTTAAAATCTCATAACACTCTTCCATAATCTGAAGACAAACAGATTTATTACAAAAAAAAGGAGTTAAAGTCCATGAATTCATAAATATCTTTATTAAAGAAGAAAAGATAGTTTTATTTCTCTAAAAGAAAGGCAGGCTGTCTTAAATTAGCTTCCATCACCATTTAAAAAAATATTTAAATATTAATAACTGCCCACTTGGAGGAGAGTGAAGGAAACTGGCTTGACATTGAATGACTCTGCAAGTAGTCATTTAATTATAGAGTAGCTCCATGTGTCTACCTTACAAAAAAGTAGAACACTTTCTAGTTTAAATATTGGCTTCCTGAACAATTATCGCATTTGCTTCTTAAAAAATTCTGGCAAGGTAGTAGGGTAGGAATTTCTGTTGGTGTTTGAGAGACAAGGACACTGAGGCTCAGAGCTGCATAAAATCATGCAAATAACAGGAAGCACATTTGAGACTTGGCTTCCAAGCTTGTGATTCCAAATCTAACTTCTCACTGCATCATCCTACTGCTCATTAAAAGTGGGAGCTTTACAAAGCCTTGATTTCAGAGCAGTACAGAACTTTACAGAAGTTCAAAGTCTGGTTTTCAAAATGAGATAATAGATTGAAGGACCACATTAGGTATATAGTAGTGGGTTGCTTAATTTTACGCGTCAACTTGACTGGGCTAAAGGATGCTGAAATATCTGGTAAAACATTTCTGGGTATGTCTGTGAAAGTGTTTTGGGAAGAGATTAACATTTGAATCAGTAGACTCGGTAAAGAAAATTAAGTTCATCAATACAATAATTTTATCATTTTATGGATAATTTTATCCTTTTAGGGCCCAAATAGGTCAAAAAAGTAGAGGAGGGTGAATTCACTCTGTTTGAGCTGGGACATCTGTCTTTCTCTGCCATCAGACATCAGTGCTCTTGGTTTTCAGGCCTTTGGGTCTGAACTGGAGCATACACCATTAGCTCTCCTGTTTCTCAGGCCTTCAGACTTGGACTTCAGAGTTCCAGTGGAATTGCATCACCAGTTTTCTGGTTCTCCAGTTTACAAACAGCAAATTGTGGGACTTCTCAGCCTTCATAATCACATGAGCCAATCCTCACTACAAATCTCCTCTTATATACACATATGTTGTTGGTTCTAGTTCTCTGGAGAACCCTGAAGAGACCTGGCCATTCAAAGGCATGGGATTATTTGTAGATAACTCTAAGGCTTGCCTTTAAGAGATCAGTAAGTTCATTGGCCCTATTTTCTACACAGCTCATGATAGAAAAATCTTAAAACTTTACACAATAATTCCATTCCAGGGTCTACTTACCTTTACCAACAGGAAGTGCTTATCTAACCTGAAATTTTTCAGTACACTTTTTTTTAAACAGTCTAAATTTATTTATTTATTTGTAGATTACTCTAAGGCTTGCCTTTAAGAGATCAGTAAGTTTATTGGCCCTATTTTCTACATAGCTCATGATAGAAAAATCTTAAAACTTTACATAATAATTCCATTCCAGGGTCTACTCACCTTTACCAACAGGAAGTGCTTATCTAACCTGAAATTTTTCAGTCATATTTTTTAAAACAGTCTAAATTTATTTATTTATTTATTTATTTATTTATTTATTTATTTGAGATGGAGTTTTGCTCTTGTCACCCAGGCTGGAGTGCAATGGCACAGTCTTGGCTCACTGCAACCTCCGCCTCCCAGATTCAAGCAACTCTCCTGCCTCAGCCTTCCCAGTAGCTGGGACTACAGGCACCCACCACCATGCCCAGCTGACTTTTGTATTTTTGGTAGAGACAGGGTTTCACTATGTTGGCCAGGCTGGTCTCGAACTCCTGACCTCAGGTGATCCACCTGCCTCGGCCTCCCAAAGTGCTGGGATTACAGGCATGAGCCACCATGCCAGGCTTAAAACAGTCTAAATTTCAAGGAAGAAGAAACATGTTCTACTTCATAAAGCTGCATGTGATAGGGTGCTAACTGGGAAATCGGAGATGCTCTCCATAGACTCCACTGTCAGTGTCTGTGTTCCTAGTGAATGAGGGAGCCAGTGACTAGTTTGCCTGTTTGTTAGCAGGAGTGTCTGCTACATGCTGTGGCATGAAGCAAGTTATCAATTTTCTTTGGACTTTGTAGTGAGCATACTCAGGTGATGAGCACTTGTTTTTTTTTTTCTTTCTTCTTCTTCTTCTTATTATACTTTAAGTTCTAGGGTACACGTGAACAACATGCAGGTTTGTTACATATGTATACATGTGCAATGTTGGTGGAGCACTTGTTTTGTTTTGATTTTTCTTCTTGGAATCCATTCTACCTTCAAGTACTCCTCTTTTCCTTAGAAAACAGACCTCATCTCAATAAAAATATAAATAAAAATTAATTAATTAATTTCAATCAATTAAATTTGTTAATTAAAGAAATTTTTCCAGCTTATATTTTCAAAAGTAATGAAGTTTTGTGAACATTTTCAATAGCCCAACCTAAATTTATAATTGAAGATAAAGTAGACTGCTTCAAGAAGTCTAAATGAACAGAAATCTCTCTTGCTAAAGATAAGTGTTCAATGCTTTGCATTTAATCCCCAAAATACTTTAGATCCAACTTTGCTTAGAGAACACCCAGTAAAAGATAAGCAACAGCTGTTATGTTTGACCTACATGTGACCTCTTCCTCATTCTCATTCCATGTGGCTTAAGTCTCATTGACTCTATCTCCCAACTCCAGGGTTTGCTTCAGCCATTTAGAGTATTCTAAGGCTGAAACAGTTGAGGACCACTGAATTAGTCAGGGTTCTTCAGAGAAACAGAGCCAATGGGATGGATGGATAGAGAGATAGATAGACAGATAGATGAAAGAGGATTTATTATGGGAATTGACTCCTGTGATTATGGAGGCTTAGGAGTCCCCTGACAGGCTACCTGCAAGGTAGAGAACCAGGGAAGCTGGTAGCATGGCTCAGTCCAAGTCCAAAGGTCTGAGAACCAAGAGAGCCATTGGTGTAACTCTGGGTCTGAGACCAAAGTCCAGAGAAACTGAGGGACTGCTGGTGCAAATCCTGGAGTCCAAAGGCCAGAGAACCTGGAGTTCTGATGTCCAAGGGCAGGAGAAGATGGTGTCGCAGTTGCAGAAGAGAGAGCAAATTCAGCTTTCCTCTGCCTTCTGGTTCTGTTTGGACCCTTAACTAATCAGATGGTGCCCACCCACATTGGGTGAGGATGGGTCTTCCTTACTCTACTGATTTAAAAGCCAATTTCTTCTGGAAATACCCTCACAGATATACCAGAAATAATGTATTCCCAGCTATTTGGGTTTCTTAACCCAGACAAGTTGACACCTAAAATTAACTACCACAGCCACCATATGGAAAGAGCCTGCCTGAGAATAAAACCAACATAGAGGAGAGCAGAGTGGAGGAAGGAGAGGGCTACAGAGACCAGCTCCTGACGATCTCACCTGAGCCCCTGCATCCAGCCATGCCTGAAGGCTTTTGATTATGTGGAGCAATACATCCTCTTTTTGTTTAAGCTTGTGTGAGTTAGTTTTAGTCACTTGCAACTGAAAGAGTCCTGCCCAGCATATTATAACAGTGATCTCAGTTCAGTTATTTCTATTCTGATCTCATATAAGCTAATCTTACTTTCCTATTTTGCTAGAAGACAGAAATGAAGGTCAAATGTATGTCAAACATAACAGCTGTTGCTCATCTGCTGGGTGCTCTCAAAGCAAGATTGGATCTAATTTATTTTGAGGATTAAATGTAAAGCTTTGAACCCTTATCTTTAGCAAGGGAGATTTCTGTTCACTTAGACTTCTTGAAACAGTCCACTTTATCTTTAATTATAAATTTAGGTTGGGCTATTGAAAATGTTAAAAAAATTCATTATTTTTGAAAATATAAGGTGGAAAAATTTAATTAACAAATTTAATTGATCGATTTAAATTAATTAATTAATTAAAAATTATTTTTTAGAAGTGAGGTCTCACTTTTTTGACCAGGTTTGTCTCAAATACCCAGGCTCAATCAATCCTCCCACCTTGACCTCCCAATGTGCTGGTATTACAGGCGTGAGCCATCTAAGTTTCTAAGCCTGAAAAATTTCTAAGTTAAAAACTTGCAAGACTTGAAAAGAAGTGAGAGAAAGAATGAGGCTCATTCGAAAATGCAATTAGCAAATATTCTTGGGAGAAGACTCACTGAATTTCCAGTCCATATTTTCTGGCTTGTTTTCCTTAGGCAGGATAAAAATAATGACAGCTAAGTCCCTCCCTCCCTCCCTCCCTCCCTCCCTCCCTCCCTTCCTTCCTTCCTTCCTTTCGCAGGGTCTCGCTCTGTCACCCAGACTGGAGTGCAGTGGTTTCATCATAGCTCACTGCAACCTCCACCCCCTGTGCTCAAGTGATCTTCCTGCCTCAGCCTCCTGAGTAGGTGGGATTACAGGCACTCAACACCATGCCCGGTTAACTTTTTTTTTTTTTTTTTTGAGACAGAGTCTCGCTCTGTCGCCCAGGCTGGAGTGCAGTGGCGCCATCTCAGCTCACTGCAAGCTCCGCCTCCTGAATTCACGCCATTCTCCTGCCTCAGCCTCCCGAGTAGCTGGGACTACAGGTGCCCGCCACCACACCTGGCTAATTTTTTGTATTTTTAGTAGAGACTGGGTTTCCCCGTTTTAGCCAGGATGGTCTTGATCTGCTGACCTCCTGATCTGCCCACCTTGGCCTCCCAAAGTGCTGGGATTACAGGTGTGAGCCACAGGCCTGGCCGCCCAGTTAACTTTTTAAAGATTGTAGAGATAGAGTCTCAACATGTTGCCCAGGCTGGCCTTGAGCTCCTGCCCTCAAGCAATACTCCTGCTTCGGCATTCCAAAGTTCTAGGATTACAGGTGTGAGCCGCTCTACCCAGCCGGTTTTCTCTTGCTTTTCTTACAACTATGGGTATCAAAACCAGGGATATGAATTGTTGTTTTTAAGATTGCAGTGGTTATTTGTGGTGCTTTGAATCTAAATAAAAACTCAATTCTAACTGATGAAAAGGATAATAATATATTAACTAGACAATAATAAAATATACAATGTAGAATACAATACAATAGATATAACAACAGCCACAGAAACACATAGTGAGCACTTAAAAAATGTATATATTTATTTATTTTTGTAGAGGTGAGGTCTTACTATGTTGCCCAGGTTGGTCTTGAACTCCCAGTCTCAAACAATACTCCTACCTTGCCTCCCAAAGTGCTCAGATTACAGGCATCAGCCAGTGCACCCAGTCTATTGAGTATTTATTATATGCTAGGTCCTGTTCTAAATACTTAACATGCATTTCTTATTTGTCTTTCATAGCAACAATGTCAACCATCTTGTGTAATAAGGCTCAAAGAGGCTGTCTCACTAGCCCCTGGCCTCCTGGTTGGTTAGTGAGAAAAAAAGAATTCAAACGCAGGTTGGCCTGACTCTAGGAATCAATTACCAAACCTTATTGTCTAGATTTAATTTTTTTTAATTTTTATTTATTTATTATTTTTTGAGATGGAGTCTCGCTCTGTCACCCAGGCTGGATTCCAGTGGTGTGATCTCAGCTCACTGCAAACTCTGTCTCCTGGGTTCAAGCAATTCTCCTGCCTCAGCCTCCCAAGTAGCTGGGATTACAGGTGCCTGCCACTGCGCCCGGCTAATTTTTTTGTATTTTAGTAGAGATGGGGTTTCATCATGTTGGCCAGGCTGGTTTTGAACTCCTGACCTCAAGTGATCCACCCACCTCGGCCTCCCAAAGTGCTGGGATTACAAGCATGAGCCAGCGCGTCCGGCCCTGTTTGGAATTTAAATCCCTCCTGTATTCCTAATTGTACAGAAATTTAACTGAGGATGTTTTGCTTGTCCTGTGTGGTGATTTAAAGATGTTTAAGCAACATTAAAAATCAGTGTTGGGGTAGGTAATTGCCATTGAATGCACAGTTTTAGGTTTTCGCAAAAAGTGAGAAGATCTGGCTACCCTAAGCTCTTATTTCTCCAAAATGGGAGGCACAGGCTATGTCCAGCTGACCCCTATCAAGGAGCAGATACACTTGGAGTTGGCCCTGCTCTCTGCGAACACTCTTGTGGCTTCCTGGATTTCTTGCTTCCATCCTTCCTCTCATTTGTCAGTTCTTTGTCTTTAAGGAAACAGGCCCGATTGCATCAAGCCTGCTGAAAGGCTTCAGTGGTCCTCTATTACCTGAAAGTACTTAAAACCCTGATCTACCCACTTTCTAGTCTTCGCTGCCCTTCACCTCTATCCGCCCCTTATGTCTTGTACTCTAGCCATGCTGGGCTCCACACTGTCTGCTATGTACCATGCTCCACCATGCCTCCCTATGTTCATGTCTTTTTCATGCTGTTCTGGTGCCAACAATGTCCTCCTACTTTCTCAATTGTTAAATACCTAATCAGAATTTAAAATCCATTTCAAATGTCATCTCCATGGAAGACAGAAAATCCTCTTTTACCTACACAGGGTGAATTCATGTATTTCCTCTTCCATGCTCTGCAGCCCTTCACATCCTGGGCACCTACAAAGCTAACCACATTTTACTTTATGGAGTTAATTGTGGGTCTGGCTCCTCTGGCTAGACTCTAAGCTCTCTAAGGGGAAAGGCTCTGACTTATTCCTCTTTGCATTCCCACAACCAGATACAGTGATTGGCACAGAGTAAAAGCTCAATCAATGCTATTCTTTCTCCCTTTTCCTTAGTGGCAGCGACTTTATCTTATCATCCCTGAAATGTTTCTGCTTAACTCAGCAGCGTTAAGACCTGGGACATAAAAGGCACTCAACCGTTATTAAAGGATGAGTTGAATTCATGTCGTGGCTGTCATGTATCTTTTTTTTTTTTTTTTTTTTTTTGAGATGGACTCTTGCTCTGTCACCCAGGCTGGAGTGCAGTGGCACGATCTCAGCTCACTGCAACCTCCGACTCCCTGGTTCAAGGGATTCTCCTGCCTCAGCCTCCCAAGTAGTTGGGATTACAGGTACCTGCCACCATGCCCAGCTATTTTTTGTATTTTTAGTATAGACGGGGTTTCACCATGTTGGCCAGGCTGGTCTCAATCTCCAGACCTCGTGATCTGCCTTCCTTGGCCTCCCAAAGTGCTGGCATTACAGGTGTGAGCCACCGCACCCGGCCCATAGCATCTCCTAACCTGTGTCTCACTCCATGTTGAGGTTGGCTGTTCTTGAACCCTTCTTAGTTCCTACCTGCTCAAGTCCACCCAGCTACCAACACCTATTACCTGCAGACTTTACCCTTCTAATCATTAAACCAATGAGAAAATCTGCTAGTCAACCTATTAGAAAACTTGACTATTCAGGTGTTGGGGCTTTTTCTGCCAACATATGTTATAGTCAGTGTTCTTTGAAGTAATAGAGGTGAGCAAAATCACAAAATACTGCCTAGACATTAAGCTACTTCTGCCCACCAGCCAGCCTTCCCTCTAATGGGAATTGCATTTTGCTTCACTGGCTTCAGCTTCTTGCCTGAGGTCCCTACTGGGATGGATGCCCAGAATCGGGCAGTAGCCTGCTAGGTGTGGGTCCCTGGTACCTGGCCAAGCTCCTGATGTCCATATTCATTGCTTTCGCTATCCCTTCTATTGAGTAAATTACTGCTAGAAATGCCACGGCCCAGGAAAAAATATACACATTTTCCTGTAACCACCCCTCACACCCTTCTTCTATGTCCAAGTGTCTCCTTATCCACAGAGAGGCAGTATCACTTAATGGTGAAATGTGGGGACTCTGGAGTCAGAAAACTCTGGCCTCCAATCCTGGTTTTGCAACTTTTATTTGTATGTGGCACTGGACTAATTCTTTAATTTCTGAACATATATCCTTGTTAAATGCAGATACTACTAGTACCTGACTCATATGTTTGTTACGAAAAGATTGAAAAATCAAATGGATGTGAAGTAAATGACACTATGCCCGACACCCTTGAAACAGTCTAGGAATGTTGTTGATTATTATTATTGGCTGCGTGGCAGGAAAAAACACTGTGAAAACAGCAGGGAAGCCTTCCAAAGCTGTGGTCCTTTCAGCAGCTGCTCAACACTTGCTCACTGCTGCATGGGTTATATTATACAGCACCGAGAAGCCAGCTTTACATATCTGGAAATAGATTCCAGATACTTAAAGAATGTGATTTTTGGCTGGGCACGGTAGCTCACACCTGCAATCCTAGCACTCTGGGAAACCAAGGCAGTCTGATTGTTTGAGCCCAGGAGTTAGAGATAAGCCTGGCCAACATGGCAAAACCCAGTCTCTACAAAAAAATACAAAAATTATCTGGGAGTGGTGGTGTTATGAGATCTTTGGGGTGTCACTTTTCTGGCTGGAAACCTCTGTGGCCAGTGGCACTTTTGCCTGAGTTCTTGTCCTGCGTCCAGAAAGAATGGGGTATGCAGACAAGTGGAGGGTGAACAAGACAAAGAGGCACTTTACTGGGTGTTAGAACAGCTTAGAGGAGACCCATAGTGAGTAGCTTGTCTCTGTTGAGTCTTCAGCTCTCAGCAGAGAGGTGGCTCTGGAATTGGTGGCTCCTCTCTGCAGGCAGGTCAACCTGTCAAGTGTTCAGCTATAGCAGAGAGGAGGCCTAGAGTGGGTGGCTCCTCTCTGCCGGCAGATCATCCTGATGAGTGTTCAGCTCTCAGCAGAGAGGAGGCCCTGGAGAGGGTGGCTCCTTTCTGCAGGTGGTCATCCTGACATCTTCTCTGCTCTGGCAGAATGGTACAATCTTGGGTTTTATGCACTTCAGTGGGGAAGTGCATACTGATTGGTGCACGGGCAGCCATGGGCTGGCCCAGGCAAAAGCACCATGAGCTCTCCCTCCAGTCTGCAGGACTGGCAGCCTGCCCTCCAGGCTTCAGCCCTTCTTTGGACTGAAGGTGGGGCATCACTCAGGACCCATTCCCTTCCTCCCAGGAGCCTGTCTGCCTCCCGCCGCCATTCATGGAGTGTAGGCTGTTTGTGCCGAGTGCCTGCAGGCCAGTGCTGAGCTGCCCTCAGCCCCTCCTCAGCTTCCCTCCTATGCTAATCGGTGCCCAAAGCCCGGAGGGGGCCAAGGTGGCAGGGAACTGGCATGTCAGCATTGCCCGGAGTGTGTGCCCACCCTGCTGGGCTGCGACAGCACCCAGGCTCAGCTTCAATCTTGCTCCATGATCGGAGCAGGTGTTGGGAGTGGGGAGAGGCCAGACAGTGGGAACAGGCACTTCCAAGCCTGTAGGGGGTAGAGGGGCCTTCCTGGGGCCCCAAAAGCACAGAGACACTGGGGTCTACAGTCACAGCAGGGCAACTGCAGTGGCACCTGGGGAGGACAGGGCTTCCGCCTGTTCTGTGGAGTGGGAGGCCCAGGTCCATCTCCCTGTTGCAGCCAGAGTCTTGGCAGCGGCCACTCTAGATGGGCTGCTACTACCATCAGTGGCATGTGCCTGTGGTCCCAGCTACTTGGGAGGCTGACGTGGAAGGATCGCTTGAGCCCAGGGGGTCGAGGCTGCAGTGAGCCATGATCATGCTTCTGCAGTCTTCCAGCCTGGACAACAGAGCAAGACCCTGTCTCAAAAAAAAAAAAAAAAAAAAAAAGAATTTCAGTATTTTCCTGTGGAATAAAACCTCAGAGGAGAGTCATCTGAACATTCCATTAGATTTTATCTCTAAAATTATAGTGATGTGTATTATAGCTCATGGAGAATGTTTTGTTTGTTTGAGCTAATAGAGGTATTAAAATTGATAGCCTCAACAATGAGGAAGGGAGTAGAAAAGTGACCCCTTCCTACTGTGTCACCATTTTTTAAAAGCTTCCTGGAGAGTAGCAGTTACAATGAATCCTCACCAGCCCTGGACAAGCTGAGATATGGCAGTTTAAATAGTTTGAGTGTCTGTCATTAAGAACACCACTGGGTTGGTGCCTGTATCTGCTGTACCTACCTCCTAGTTTTTTTTTTTTTAAGCTTTTATTTTTGAGATGGAGTCTCACTCTGTTGCCCAGGGTGTAGTGCAGTGGTACAATCTCAGCTCACTGCAACCTCTGATTTTCTGGCTCAAGCAGTTCTCCTGCCTCAGCCTCTAGGTAGCTGGGATTACAGGCACCCACCACAGTGCCCAGCTAATTTTTGTGTTTTTAGTAGAGACGGGGTTTCACATGTTGGCAAGGCTGGTCATGAACTCCCGACCTCAGGTGATTCGCCCACCTCAGCCTCCCAAAGTGCTGGGATTACAGGCATGAGCCACTGTGCACAGCCCCTTTTTAAGCATTTTCTTACTTCCTGGAACCACAAGATATTCCAGACTCATCCTGTAGTTCCTCTGCCCCAGCCCTGGAATTAAATGCTTCTGCTAGAAGCTCTAGTTCCTCTTATTGCAGACCAAGATCTGAGTACTAGGTGTGTACTTATTTCCTAAAATGTCGTTACTTCTAGGCCTTCTCAGCAGACGGAGCTACAAAATATATGTATGTCTAACTCATACTGCTCCTTGTGGAGCAGGACTACCCTACAGTTAGTACAGGGTACTATCTATCTGTCTGTCTGTCTGACTATCTATCTATCTATCTATCTATCTATCTATCTATCTATCTATCATCTATCTATCTATCTATCTATCTATCTATCTATCTATCTATCTGTCATCTATCAATCATCTATCTATCTATCAATCATCTATCTATCTATCTATCTGATATGGTTTGGCTGTGTCCCCACACAAATCTCATCTTGAATTGTAGCTCCCCTAACTCCCATGTGTCATGGGAAGGACCCAGTGAGAAGGGAAGTAATTGGATCACAGGGCGGGTCTTTCCCGTGATGTCCTCATGATAGTGAATAAGTCTCACAAGATCTGATGGTTTTATAAAGGGGAGTTCCTCTGCATAAGCTGTCTTGCCTGCCACCATGTAAGACGTGCCTTTCTCCCCCTCTGCCTTCCTCCATGGCCTTGTAGCCATGTGGAACTGTGAGTCAGTTAAACCCCTTTCCTTTATAAAATACCCAGTCTTGGGTATGTTGGGTATGTCTTTCTTTCTTTCTTTTTTTTTTTTTTTTTGAGACAGAGTCTCACTCTGTCACCCAGACTGGAGTGCAGTGGCATGATCTCATCTCAGCTCACTGCAACCTCTGCCTCCTGGGTTTAAGCAATTCTCTGCCTCAACCTCCCAAGTAGCCAGGCTTACAGGTGCATGCCACCACACCAGGCTAATTTTTGTATTTTTAGTAGAGACAGGGTTTCACCATGTTGGCCAGGCTGGTCTCGAACTCCTGACCTTGTGATCCACCCACCTTGGCCTTCCAAAGTGCTGGGTTTATAGGCGTGAGCCACTGAACCCAGCTGGGTATGTCTTTATTAGCAGCATGAGAACAAATGAATACTCTATCTATCTATCTATCTATCTATCTATCTATCTATCTATCTATCTTAAAATGGGTTTTATATGGATAACTCTGATTTTGGTCTAGTACTGCAGGGTTCATTTAGCTTTCCTTCTTTTCATATATGTATATATTCCTGTTCATATTTACAGATGGACAATACATTACAGAAGAATGGCTTTATTTGAGTAACCCCGAGAACTTGGAAGCATTGTTGTTCTCATCTGCCTGTTCAGGAATCCTCTTATAGCAGATATCTATTACCTTTTTTGGCCCAATGTCTCTTCTATCTGAGAGCAGCTCCTCCACAGGTGGTTCTAGCAATCACAAGACCCACTCTCCCCAACACAGGTGGGCATGTGACTGAGGCTGGCCAGTGAGAGTATACCATCCTCAAAATTCAAGGTGGCAGCTCACCCCGGCAAGACAAACAGAAGTCCCTGGAGACCTGATTCAGTTGTTCAGGGAGAGAGACAGAGAGTTTGAACACTAGTGAGCCAGTTGTTCTCGGGTTTCTGTGGACTATCTCGTTGGGGAAGCCTGTTTAAGAATGAAGCCCACATAGAGGAAGGCATGTCATTGAACCCTGGAATCCATTTCTGCATGACAACAGCTGTGACTTCCTAGTTCTGTAAGTCAGTTAATCCTTTTTCAGTTTAAAATTTTTCTTTTTTTTCTAGACAGTCTCACTCTGTCACCCAGGCTGGAGTGCAGTGGCACGATCTCAGCCCACTGCAACCTCCACCTCCCAGGCTCAATCAAGCCAATCCTTCCACCTCAGCCTCCCAAGCAGCTGGGACCACAGGTGTGTGCCACCACACCCAGCTAATTTTTTGTATTTCTTGTAGAGACAGGGTTTTGCTATGCTGGCCAGGCTGGTCTTGAACGCCTGAGCTCAAGTGATCTGATTGCCTCGGCTTCCAGAAGTGCTGGGATTACAAGCTTGAGTCACCATGCCTGGTCCAGTTTAAACTTTTTTGATCGAGCATCTGTCACTTACAATCAAATGAATCAAATACATCTCCTTAGAATCATATAAACAAACCCCGTGAATAAGAAGAGACCTCATAGTTAAGCTCAGCCCACATCCATACAGAAATCCTCTTTATTGTTCGTGAATGACTAAGCACCTCATTGAATAGGAAGTTCGCTACTGGGTAAGGCAGCCCATTACATTGCTGGATACTTCCAGCTGCCTTAAAGCCTTTTAAAATGCTGAGCCCCATATCAGACTCCCACGAATTACACCCATTGGTATTAATTCTGTATTGCGCTCACACAGAAAATTAGTCCAGGCTCTTTTTCACATGGTAGCCTTTTAAATATATAAAAATACTAACTTTTTCTTTTCCAGTCTCAATGGACTTAGTTTCTTCAACTGCTCTTAGGAGAGAGTTTTTAGATTCTTTACAATCCTAGTGTCCTTTTTAGAAGATAAGACATTTTAGTAATGATCCCTTTACAATGTATTGCCTAGGATTGAGTAATTTGTTTAACTAGTTTGGAGCACAGTAGACTTATTTTTTGTATTCTAGTTACTATAGGTTTATAAATATACTTATTTTTTATTTTTGAGATGGAGTTTTGCTCTCGTTGCCCAGGCTGGAGTGCAGTGGCACAATCTCGGCTCACCACAAACTCCGCCTCCCATGTTCAAGTGATTCTCCTACCTCAGCCTCCCAAGTAGCTGGGATTACAGGCAGGCACCACCACACCCAGCTAATTTTGTATTTTTAGAAGAGGCAGGGTTTCTCCACGTTGGTCAGGCTGATCTCGAACTCCCGACCTCAGGTGATCTGCCCACCTTGGCCTCCCAAAGTACTGGCATTACAGACGTGAGCCACAGCGTCCAGCCAGGTTTATAAATATAATTACATTATGTTTAGGCAAGCTGCCTCATACCTAAGACACCCTTCTTTAAGCTTTGCACCTCATGATAATTTTTTAAAAGCCCCAAGTACAAAATGCAACTCTTAGGACATTAAAAAGATAATACAATGTAACAATAACAGTTAATATGTATGTGTGTATTTATTTTTATTTTTTAGAGACCAGGTCTCACTATGTTGCCCAGGCTGGTTGTGAACTCCTGGGCTCAAGTGATCCTCCTGCTTCAGCCTCCTGAGTAGCTGGGCCTGCAGGTGCAGACCACTGCACCCGGCTAACAGCTAACATTTAGTGAGTTACTATATGCCAAGCATTTTATAGCATTATATATTATATACTATTGTTTACATCTCACAAAACCCTGTAAAGTGGGTTCTATTACTATCCCCATTAGATGAAAAAACTGCAGCTTAGAGAGGTTAAGTAGCTTCTCTGATTTTTCACAAGATCCTGGAAAGCTAGGATCCAAGTTTGACTTCAGACTGGGTTGTTTATTCATTAAAGTCTTGAGAATGCAGAGGCAATGCCTTCAACAGAAAATCAGCTAGATGATTATAGTAAACAGTAACTGTGACAACAGAAGTATTTAACACATTTTAATGATCATTTATGGGAAATTGTTGCTGCTGCTGCTTCTTTTTTATTTTTTATTATTTTATTTTATTTTATTTTTTGAGATGGAGTCTCACTCTGTCGCCCAGGTTGGAGTGCAGTGGCGCAATCTCGGCTCACTGCAAGTTCCGCCTCTTGGGTTCACACCATTCTCCTGCCTCAGCCTCCCGAGTAGCTGAGACTAGAGGCGCCTGCCACCACGCCTGGCTAATTTTTTTGTATTTTTAGTAGAGATGGGGTTTCACTGTGTTAGCCAAGATGGTCTTGATCTCCTGACCTCGTGATCCGCCCGCCTCGGCCTCCCAAAGTGCTGGGATTACAGGCGTGAGCCACCGTGCCCGGCCTGCTGCTGCTTCTTAAGTGCAAAATAGTGTATTTTGAATCCTATAATGAAGGATGAGGGAAGAGTTAAAAATTTTTAAATAGAGCCTGATTAGATACATATTAAAGAGGAAGAGTTGTGAAGAACACAAGAGCATTATGCCAGGCGTGGTGGCTCACAACTGTAATCCAAGCACTTTGGGAGGTCGAGGCGGGTGGATCACAAGGTCAGGAGTTCAAGACCAGCCTGGCCAACATAGTGAAACCCCATCTCTAGTAAAAATACAAAAATTAATGGTGGGGGGTGCCTATAATCCCAGCACTTTGGGAAGTCGAGGTGGGCGGATCACAAGGTCAAGAGACCAGCCAGGCCAATATAGTGAAACTCTATCTCCACTAGAAATACAAAAATTAGCTGAGCGTGGTGGTGGGTGCCTGTAGTCCCAGCTACTCAGGAGGCTGAGACAGGAGAATCGCTTGAACCCGGGAGGCAGAGGTTGCAGTGAGCCGAGATGGTGCCACTGCACTCCAGTCTGGGTGACAGAGTGAGACTCCATCTCAACAACAACAACAACAAAAAAAAAGCATTACAAAGTAGGTGGAAAAGTTAACTGCAGGACATAAAAATCATGAAGAAAAATCTGAAACATGGGGAACGGAGTGGTCTCTGTGGAGAGCCTGATGATGAGACTTAGCTGAGAATAGATGAGTTTAATTTTATGGAAAGAAAAAATAATAAGGTAAGATAAGGTTTATCTTATTTTCCAAGCCAGAACCCTGAAAGGGTGAGGTAGGTGGCCACAAAGTCAGAGTGAGTAGGAGAGGGTAGGTTTTTTTTTTAATTTTAATTTTTAAAATTTTTTGGGTACATAGTAGGTATATATATTTAATGGGTTACATGAGATATTTTGATACAGGTATGCAAAGTGTAATAGTCACATCAGGGTAGGTGGGGGTATCCATCCCCTCAAGCATTTATCTTTTGTGTTACAAACAATCCAATTATATTCTTAGTTATCTTAAAATATACAATTACATTTTTTTTTTACTATACTCACCCTGTTGTGCTATTAATAACTAGGTCCTATTCATTCTTTCTATTTTTGTGTGTGTCCATTAATCATCTCTGTATTAGTCCATTCTCACATTGCTATAAAGAAATACCTGAGGCTGGGTTATTTATTTATTTATTTATTTATTTATTTATTTATTTATTTGGAGATGAAGTCTCACTCTGTTGCCCAGGCTGGAGTGCAATGGTGCAATCTTGGCTCACTGCAGTCTTTGCCTCCTGGATTCAAGCAATTCTCCTGCTTCAGCCTCCCAAGTAGCTGGGATTACAGGTGTGCGCCACCATGCCCAGCTAATTTTTGTACTTTTAGTAGAGGCAGGGTTTCACCATGTTGGCCAGGTTGTTCTTGAACTTCTGACCTCAATGATCTGTCCACCTTGGCCTCCCAAAGTGCTGGGATTACAGGCATGAGCCACTGTGCCCTGCCAAGACTGGGTAATTTATAAAGAAAAGAGGTTTCATTGGCTCACAGTTCCACAGGCTGTACAGGAAGCATGATGCTGATATCTGCTCAGCTTCTTGGGGGCCTCAGGGAACTTACAATCATGGTGAAAGGCAAAGGGATAGCAGCCTGTCACATGGTTGGAGCAGGAGCAAGAGAGCGAGCGAGCAGGGAGATGCTACACACTTTTAAACAACCAGATCTCGTGAGAACTCACTAATTATCACGAGAACAACACCGAGGGGTGATGCTAAACCATTCACAAGAAATCTGCCCCTGGGATTCAATCACCTCTCACCAGCCCTCACTTCCAACACTGGGGATTACAATTTCACATGAGACTCGGGCAGGGACACAGATCCAAATTATATCAATCCCCACTTCCCTCCTCATCCCCCACTACCCTTCCCAGCCTCTAGTAACCATCCTTCTACTCTCTATCTTTATGAGTGAAATTGTTTTAATTTTTAGCTCCCACAAATACGTGAGAACATGTGATGTTTGTCTTTCTTATTTCACTTAACATGATGACCTCCAGTTCCATCCATGTTGTTGCGAAGGACAGGATCTCATTCTTTTTTACGGCTGAATAGTATTCCATTGTGTATATGTACCAGGAAAGGGTATGCTTCAAAGCCAGAGTCTGGTGACCGCATAGGGCTTTGGGATCTGGGTTTATTTGCAGTGCTTTCCTTTCATGTGGTACATAAAGCCCCAAAGGTATGAGAACATAAACGGTATTTGTGAGCTATATCAACAGTTCTGAATTCCCATCTTCTATACCAGAGTCAGCTGGGAGTACGCGGGTTCAGACTGTCAACCTAAGTAACAGAGAGGGACTCTCTAAAAGTAAATGATATTTCTTTGGGAATGAAGCATTGCAATGGGAATATGCGTGCCACAGTAAACTATGTGCATATTCAGGGAGGTAAAAGAAGACAAAGGTTTTCAAAGGAAAAAATGAGGAGGATTGCATAATTGTTTTGAAATAATTATCCTTGGCTACAAAGATCGTTAACGAGGGTGACACCCGTCCGAGGTTGGACAGGCAGTTGCTGGGCAGATGTCTTTGCAGAAGTATTTTTTATATAAGGTTGCAATGTTCTGTGTGCAAGGTTGTGGTTTTTGCAGAGTCTTTTGTGATAGTTTTTTGTTATCAAGCATATAAGCACAAGAATGTTCTCTTCATAACCTTCCCTGTCCCTATTTGTCAGGGTTTCATTTTCTTATACTTGGTCACTCTAGTTTGATTCTGACAACTTTCTTTTTCTTTTCTTTTTTTTTTTTTTTTTTTGAGACTGAGTTTTGCTCTTGTCACCCAGGTTGGAGTGCAATAGTGTGATCTCGGCTCACTGCAACCTCTGCCTCCTGGGTTCAAGTGATTCTCCTGTCTCAGCCTCCCGAGTGGCCGGGACTACAGGCATGCACCACCAGGCCCGGCTACATTTTTTTTTGTATTTTTAGTAGAGACGGGGTTTCACCATGTTGGCCAGGCTGGTCTTAAACTCCTGACCTCCCGTGATTCACCCGCCTCAGCCTCCCAAAGTACTGAGACTACAGGTGTGAGCCACTGCATCCGGCTGATTCTGACAACTTTCACAAGGCAGAAAGACAAACATCACTTAAGGGAAATATTCGAAGCAACCTGGAGGTGCATAGCTTGGGTGTTATTTTAATTTTTTTTCTTTGCGGTTTTTTTGCGTTTTTTTTTTTTTTTTTTTTTTTTTTTTTTGGAGAGATGGGGTTTCGCCATGTTGTCCAGGTTGGTCTGGAACTCCTGGGCTCAAGTGATCTGGCTGTCTTGTCCTCCCAAAGTGCTAGGATTACAGGTGTGAGACACTGTGCCCAGCCAGGTGTTATTTTTAGAGTCAAGTTGGTGGCTTTCAAATGCAGAAATGGGCAGTAGAGGAATAACACTGCACACTCTCCATTATCTCTGAATACAATCAGATTGATTTGAGATAGCTTAAGATGAGGGGGATGAGGATAGCTTTATAGGTCTGTAGACACTTAGAGAGAGAAGGAAGAACAGTGGAAGTCAGCCAAACAATGTTTGGAATAGGTATCCATTTTTTTTTTAAATAAAAGAGATTAAGATTTCTGTAAAAGAAAAACTATTCATGAATAATGGTAAGAAAAAAATGTACAGGATATTAAACAGTTCGTTGAGAGAAACCACAGAGATTGAGCTTGAAGATGAAGTGGAGGAAATGTTTGAACACGGATGTGGGGTCTGTTTTATTCATGAACTCAATGTTTCATAAATTACATGTGGGCCTGTCAGACGTTGAGAAATGGAGGAAGAAGACATAGAGATCTTTTATTTTTTTGTTTATTTATTTTTTTGAGATGGAGTCTCACTCTGTCACCCAGGCTGGAGTGCAGTGGAACAATCTCGGCTCACTGCAGCCTCACTTCCCAGTTCAAGCAATTTTCCTGCCTCAGCCTCCAAAGTAGCTGAGACTACAGGCACGAGTCACCATGCCTGGTTAATTTTTTGTATTTTTAGTAGAGACGGGGTTTCGCTATGTTGGTCAGGCTGGTCTAGAACTCCTGACCTCAGGTGATCCTCCCGCCTTGGCGTCCCAAAATGCTGGGATTACAGGTGTGAGCCACTTCTCCCAGCCGACACAGAGCTCTTTTAAAAAGCACAGTGTAGATGCTGGATTGTCCATTCAAAAAGGCCACACCCACTGGGGCTAACTCAAGACCAATTGGCATGCCTCTCTTCACTATCTCTTAGGAAATGCTTAGGATGTGTCACAAAGATCTCAAACAATTTATATTTGCTTAATAACCACTGGCTGAATTATAAGATTAACCTGCATATATACTGCATAGCTGAGCATATTTTAAAAGTGCAGAATAATCTCTATTTGTGAGGCTTTTAAATCATACTTGCCTTCCTTCTGGCCAGCACAGGGTGGAGCTCTTATCCAGACTAAATAAAAGCATTTTCTAAATGGAAGGGATGGAAGCTACTTTAAACAGTTGGCACTTAGGAATTTTTATCCATTTAGTCTCTGTGTGGCACAGAAGGCTTCCAACTCTTTGCTTAAAAAAAGAAAAAGAAATAGTAGAGTCACAAATCAAAAATAAAGGAAGATGTGAGAAGCAGAGTACAAAGAAAAAGGAGATTCACGAATCATGAATGGAAACACTTGTTAATAATAAATTCCACTGATGGTGAATTTAAGCACAGCTGAGTTGTGTAGACCTCATAGTCTCATGATCTTGTTCCTAAGCAAGGTAAATGTCTCCCGGGTGTTTAGATGGTTCAGTGGCCTAATCAACAGAAAGTTCAGTTTGGAATGGGTCATAGCCCCCTCGTTACCATCACTGGGTCTCTGTGGCTCTCTCTGCTGGGGCCATCTGTCCACGCCACGTTCACTGCCTGACTCTGTCACCAGGCCAGGTCCTGGCCCAGGAAAGAATATTTGCAATCCATAGTTGCTCTGCCTGTGGATGGTGGTTAGTTTGATTTGGAAAGAAGCAATAAGTCCCATCTTGGTCCTGGATCCAAATCTTGTTTTCCAATAAAGCTTTATCATTATTAAATATTAGGGATATTTGGATATCCAAAATAAATAAGTAAAATAGTATACCTAAGTAAAATGTAAATCAGAGGAGAGAAATTATTTGAAAATTGTGTAATTATTTTCAGAATTAAGGTCTCGGCCAAGGTGGGCAGATAACGAGGTCAGGAGTTCGAGACCAGCAGCCTGGCCAACATAGTGAAACCTCGTCTCTACTAAAAATACAAAAAATTAGCCAGGCGTGCTGGCAGGTGCCTGTAGTCCCAGCTACTTGGGAGGCTGAGGCAGGAGAATCGCTTGAACCCAGGAGGCGGAGATTGCGGTGAGCCGAGGTCGCACCACTTTACTCCAGCCTGGGCAACAAGAGTGAAACTCCGTCTCAAAAAAAAAAAAAAAAAAGAAAAAAGAAAAAAAAGAATTAATGTCTCAGTGGGGCCCAGGCATCAGCATTTTTAGAAAGCTCCATGGGTGGCTGAGTGTGGTGGTTCATGCCCGTAATCCCAGCACTTTGGGAGGCCGCTGAGTGTGGTGGCTCATGCCCGTAATCCCAGCACTTTGGGAGGCCACGGCAGAGGGATCCCTTAGGCCAAAAGTTCAAGAACAGCCTGAGCAACATAGGGAGATGCCTATCTCCACAAAAAAAATTGTTTAAGTCAGGTGTGGTGATGCACCCCTGTAGGCCCAGCTACTCAGGAGGCTGAAGCAGAAGGCTCGCTTGAGCCCAGGAGTTCGAGGCTGCAGTGAGCTGTGATTGTACCACTGCACTCCAGCCTGGGCAACAGAGTGAAAACCTGTCATAAAATAAAATAAAATATAAAATAAAATAAAATAAAAATCCGAGGCAGCAAGTCTGGAGTGAGGCCTGAGATTCTGCTTTTCTGACAAGTTCCCAGCGCATGCCCTGTGCTACTGGTTTTTGGACCACACTTTGAGAAGAAAGGCTTGTATTCAGTGGGTCCCAAATGTTCCACATCATAACCCTTCCCAGGAGAGCTGGTTAAGCCTCACAGATGCACAGGGCGCTCCTTGAAGGTTGCTGATTCAGGAGGTCTGGGAGTCTGCGTTAAAAGCTGCCCAGCTGATTCTCATGGCTTGCATGCCTGCTGGAGAAAGGCTGCCCTGACTTCCTCTAGGGAGTTGATTGTTTGCCTGGCTTTTGTTGTTTTACTTACTAAAGCTTCAAAATCTTATTCTCTTTCTTAATAATTCTAAATATGGGTGTATAGGCAGCATGATATTTTTTAGTATTCAATTCAGTTTTCAAAAATTTTTTGATTACCTGGTAGGTAGTACTTTCTAGTACAATGGACAAAAAATAAAAAATGATCGAAAACAATACTTTGATTCCATTTAACTAATTGTGTTGGCATTGTTCTTGCTGACCTCTATGTTCTGGGTTCTAAAAAACTGGCTAAGAAGTTATCATCAAGAAAAAACATGAGTTTTTTAAAATTAATTTATTGTTTTAAATGAAAGATATATTTTCATCATGTTAAGCTGCTGAACTTTTTTTTTTTTTTTTTTGAGATGGAGTTTCGCTCTTATCGCCCAGGCTGGAGTGCAATGGCGCGATCTCAGCTCACTGCAACCTCTAAGTCGCTGAACATTTGGCATCATTTGTTGGAGGAGTTAGCCCTTCCTGATGCATACATTCTTCTTTGCTTTGTGCCTTTAAAACTGGGGTGCCCCAGGGACTTCTCCATCTACACCTACACACAGTCCTTTGGTGATCCTATCCAAACTTAGGACTTTAAATACCACCTACTGTCTAATGATTTGGAAACACAGATCTCCAGCCCACGCCTCTTTCTTGAGCAGGCTAGTATAACCAGCTGCCTGGTTAATAACTCCACTTGGATATTCATGGATATTTTCAAACTCTTCTCATCCAAAACGAGATGTCTGATTTTTTCCTAAACCTACTCCGCCTGGTAGTTCTCCCTGTATCGGTTGGAGCAACTCCATTCTTATAGCCGCTCAGCCCAAACCTCTCTCACACCCACATCTAATCCATCCAGAGTTTTTGTCGGCTCTCCCTTCCTAATATATTCAAGATCCGACTGCCTCTCACCTCTGTCAATGCTACAACCTGCCTGAAGCCACCATTCTCTCTTGCCTAAATGACTGCAGCAACTTGCTAGCTCTTGTCTTTTTTCTTCCTCTCCCCTTCCTTTTTCTTTTTATTGTAAAGTTTCTTCAAATAACCTTAGCCATTGGTAGTAACAGGAGCAACCTGTATTGCAAAACATTGTATTTTCAATATTCTAATTTTGCTTTTAGAGGAAAAAAATTGTTGTTTAAAGAAAGCTGGAAGGAACTAGGTGTGGTTAACTGACCTAAAATGTTATTGGAATAGTTCAGATGGATAGAAACAAGAGGAATGACAATAAGAATGCGAGG
Organism: Homo sapiens; assembly: GCF_000001405.40. NCBI lineage: Eukaryota > Metazoa > Chordata > Mammalia > Primates > Hominidae > Homo > Homo sapiens. The sequence continues at coordinate 103,452 of NW_018654710.1, forward strand.
GTTTTAAATAGCACATGTTCTTTTTTTTTTTTTTTTTTTTGAGATGGGGTCTCACTCTGTTGCCCAGGCTGGAGTGCAGTGGCACGATCTTGGCTCACTGCAAGCTCCACCTCCCGGGTTCACGCCATTCTCCTGCCTCAGCCTCCCGAGTAGCTGGGACTACAGGCGCCTGCCACCAAGCCTGGCTAATTTTTTGTATTTTTAGTAGAGACGGGGTTTCACCATGTTAGCCAGGATGGTCTCAATCTCCTGACCTCGTGATCCGCCTGCTTCAGCCTCCCAAAGTGCTGGGATTACAGGAGTGAGCCACCACGCCTGGGCACGTGTTCTTTCTTATATAACAAGCTTTTCAAATTCACAGGTTCGAGAGTGTGGTTGCTTTGCTTGTGGAGAAAGCAGCTGTGTTCATGTTTTGTATGTACCAGTGTTTCTCCTGTATTGGTTTTTGCTGATATGGATGTGAAATGGTTTTGCTTGTTCCATCGTTTTCCTTCTGTTTGTGTGTGTGTGTGTTTTAAAAAATCGTTTTTGTTGGCCGGGCGCAGTGATTCACACCTGTAATCCCAGCACTTTGGGAGGCCGAGGCGGGCAGTTCACGAGGTCAGGAGTTTGAGACCAGCCTGGCCAACATGGCGAAACTGCGTCTCTACTAAAAATACAAATTAGCAGGGCATGGTGGCGTGCGCCTGTAATCCCAGCTACCTAGGAGGCTGAGGGAGGAGAATCTCTAGAACCCAGGGGACAGAGGCTGCAGTGAGCCAAGATTGCGCCACTGCACTCCAGCCTGCCAGACAGAGCAAGACTCCGTCTCAAAAAAAATCGTTTTTGCTTTGGAGCTCAGGTTCTAGATCCTTCTCTGAGCCTTCTAATGACATCTCTTCTGTCTCAGTTAAGATCTGATCAACAATGAATAATGTCATGTCCCTCTCAAATCTGGCTTTAACCATCTGACTACCATCTCCCTTGCTTCTCCCCTCTGGGCCCCTAAACTTCAGTTAGGGTGAATTATTCAGTGTTTCCCCTATGTGCCATGCTTTCTTCCCTGTGGGACAAGATTAGTTCACGACATTTCCACCACCTTTATACCCATTTCCTCTAAATCCATAGAACCTAATAGTAATAGTCGACACTTGGTGAGCACTTACTCTGCGCCAGGCAGTGTGTTAAGTGTTTATGGTAATTTTATCATTTTAACCCCACACTATATAAGGTAGACCATTTATGATCCCTATTATACTGCCAGGTATGCCCTGCCCAGATCCCCCTGGGTCCTCTTTTCCAGCTCTGCATGCTCAGACCCCTGTGGGCTTGGCTGCAAATGCTTTCTCTGGAAACTTCTGCACATTACCCCTCACTGGGGGGAGAGTGGAAAGGCTCTGGGAGTTTGTGTCCCTCTCCCCCCTTGCCAGTGACAGAAGGAACTGGTGTAGGAACACAAGCACCCAGATCGTTGGCCTCAAGGAGGGAGAGGTTGAAGTGTGAGCCATGCTCCAGGACTCTCCAAGGATCAGCCTGAGCTGGCTTCTTCCCCTTCCCTGGCTTGCTTCCCTACTCCTTCACTTTTCTTCTTGGAAGCACATTCCCCAGTAAATCACCTCCTTTCCAATCCTTGCTCATGACCTGTGTCTGGAGGAACTCAACCTAAGACTCTTGCCTGGCTCATGCAAGGTACAGTTGCTATTCAAACCCGAGCAGTCTAAATCCTACCACAGTTTAGGGTTCAAATCCCTCTGTTATAACGCCTGTCATGTCAGTATGATGACTCTGTTTCAATTTCTTTTTCCTAGAAAATGTTAGAAATTTTACCCGGGGAATCTTGGAGCAGTATCTTTGATGTTTGCTCACAGTTCTGAGTGTGGTACTGGGAGTATTCAAAGTCCTTTCTAGCGATGGGTGAGGTTGCATTTGGAGCATCTCACAATACTCTGATAAATGTCTTGAGCGTCTTCCTCCATGCACCCACAGCCCTGTGGACATGCATCCATCTATTATGCTACTGGGGTCATGATTTCAAAAATTATTTTGGATCTTCTGCTCACGGCCCTAGACTGTGGACTCCTGGGGGCCAGGATACTGGCCTATTCATGGTTGTTTCCCAGTGCAGAGCAAAGCGTCTAAATAGAGGTGTTCATCTTTTTGGATGCAATTCTGTACTACAAGAAAGTGGATTTAGAACTGTGGTTCTCAAGGCCGGGCGTGGTGGCTCACACCTGTAATCCTAGCACTTTGGGAGGTTGAGGCGGGCGAATTGCTTCAGTCCAGGAGTTCGAGACCAGCCTGGGCAACATGGCAAAAAACCCTGTCTCTACAAAAAATACAAAAATTAGCTGGGTGTAGTGGCATGTGCCCGTAGTCCCAGCTACTTGGGAGACTGAGGTGGGAGGATCACCTGAACCTGGGGTGGCTGAGGCTTCAGTGAGCCGTGATCACACCACTGCACTCCAACCTGGGTGACAGAGTGAAATCCTGTCGTTAAAAAAAAAAAAAAAAAAGAACTGTGGTTCTCAAATTTCATTTGCATAAAAATTACTGTGGGGGAGGCAGTGGGCTCAAGGAATCCGCATTTTAAGAAGTATCCCAGGTGATGTTTAACCCATTATAGATACTTTGAGAAACAGTAATTTATAAGGTGCAAATACTGAATAATAATAAACAGTTATGTTACAAATACTTAAACATAGTGGTTACTTCATACTTGGCACTGTTGTTAGAGAACTATAAACTCATTTAATCCACATTTAATCCTCATGAGGTGAAAAGTACTATTAACCCCCATTTTTACATATTAGGAAACTGAGGGACAGAGATGCTAAGTAACTTGCTCCACAACTATAACTAGTAAGTAGAGTTGGGCCCAGCATTCTGGCCCCAGAGGCTGTGCTCTTAACAGCTGCCTCACACCCCCTTTCCACTGATACATGCAAGAAAATCCACATGATTCCCAGCATGATTTTTGCTGAGCCCTTCCAAGGAGGCTGAAAGGAACAGAGGATACATTACTGCATAGAACACACAGGAAATATTTTATTAGTTTCCAGATGAAGCAAGGGATAGAGTACAAACATTTCAGTAGAGCTCCACAGCTCTCCTTAGGGAGCCCACTCTCGCATCCGTGGCCCCCCAGTCCTGACACCACCTGCAGTCCCCCGGCCTCAGCAGGTACTGCCGCCCCTGGTAGTTGGGCAGCTCGTAGAGGACCCAGGAGCCCTCCAGCACGTTGAAGGAGTGGATCTCACTGAGGTGGAAGCGGTCGTGAAGAGAGGAGCAGTCCTCAGTGATCTCCACCATCTGGCCCCTGTAGTCCTCTCGCTCATAGATCCTGAGCCTGTGGGAGCTGGCCTGGGGGTTCAGCAAACAGCAGATGAGGGAACGTCAGAAAACCTGACTTCCTGGGGGATGGACCTAAAAAATTTTTTTTCTAGGCCGGGAGCAGTGGCTCACACCTATAATCCCAGCACTTTGGGAGGCCGAGGCAGGTGGATCACGAGGTCAGGAGATCGAGACCATCCTGGCTAACACAGTGAAACCCTGTCTCTACTAAAAATACAAAAACAAAATTAGCCGGGGGTAGTGGTAGGCGCCTGTAGTCCCAGCTACTTGGGAGGCTGAGGCAGGAGAATGGGATGAACCCAGGAGGCAGAGCTTGCAGTGAGCCAAGATCGCGCCACTGCACTCCAGCCTGGGGGACAGAGTGAGACTCCGTCTCCAAAAAAAAAAAAAAAAAAATTTCCTATATCAAAAGTGACCAAGCTAAAACAAAGACACTGCCAACACCAGGGCTGCTGTGTATAGTTGGGTAGGTTGTACACTGTGAAACTCAAGAGGACACCACTCCCCATTCATTTGGTATGAATGGTGCTCCCTAGGGTTTTCTGTTACAATCTACATGAATAGACACACTTGTCCTGCTCAGGACCACTTTTAAATATTTTTTGTATTTGTTTTGTTTGTTTTGTTCTCTCCTTCATAAATTTGTGGTGGTTTGGGCTCTTGTTGGATGACACATAAAATAATGTTTTTATGTTTTTTTTTTTTTTGAGATGGAGTCTCGCTCTGTCGCCCAGGCTGGAGTACAGTGGTGCGATCTCGGCTCACTGCAAGCTCCGCCTCCCGGGTTCACGCCATTCTCCTGACTCAGCCTCCCGAGTAGCCGGGATTACAGGCGCCCGCCACCGCGCCCGGCTAATTTTTTGTATTTTTAGTAGAGATGGGGTTTCACCATGTTAGCCAGGATGGTCTCGATCTCCTGACCTCGTGATCCGCCTGCCTTGGCCTCCCAAAGTGCTGGAATTACAGACGTGAGCCACCGCGCCTGGCAAATATTAAGATTTTAAAACAAAAAGGCAAATATATTCCTGGCAAAATATATTATTTTGAATCTCAATAGCATTAGGAGAAGCTAGAGGGAGAGCAGGTTGAATTGCTTTTACCCAAATGAGGCTCAGATTGGTGGCAATACAGGAAGAAAGTCCAGCGCAAGCAATCCTTCATCCGTGCTTTTCTGCTTTAAGCCCTGCTACTCAAACATGCTGAAAAGCAAGAGCCGTCACAAAGAGAACTAGGTTTCAGTTCTTAGCTCCAACATGTGCTCTTACAAATCAGTTTTAGGTAATACCGAAAAATGGAAGTTCAAGATCATGAAGGAGCAGCTGGGCAGGGTGGTTCATGCCTGTAATCCCATCACTTTGGAAGGCCAGGGTGGAAGGATTGCTTGAGCCCAGGAGTTCAAGACCAGCATAGACAACACAGTGAGACCCTGTCTCTACCAAAAAAAAAAAAAAAAAGTTTAGCTGGGCATAGTGGTGTGCACCTGTGGTCCCAGCTACTCAGGAGGCTGAGGCGGGAAAATCACTTGAGCTCAGGCTTCAGTGAACTATGATCACACCACTCAAGCCAGTCTGGGTGACAGAGAGAAACCTTGTCTTAAAAAAATATCTTTTTTTTTTTTTTCCCCGAGACGGAGTCTCACTCTATCGCCCAGGCTGGAGTGCAGTGGCGCAGTCTCGGCTCACGGCAAGCTCCGCCTCCCGGGTTCACACCATTCTTCTGCCTGAGCCTCCCGAGTAGCTGGGACTACAGACCCGCCACCACGCCCGGCTATTTTTTTGTATTTTTAGTAGAGACGGGGTTTCACCGTGTTAGCTAGAATGGTCTGAATCTCCTGACCTCGTGATCCACCCGCCTCGGCCTCCCAAAGTGCTGGGATTACAGGCGTGAGCCACCACGCCTGGCCTAAAAAAAGATCGTTAAGGAGGCCTGTACAGGTTCAAGAGTGTGAAACCTTTAGAAAAATGGAAACTTAGGCTGTTTGTCCTGAGCTATTCTTGTCTCTGTCGGTTTTTGTTTGTTTGTTTTGTTTTGTTTTGTTTTGTTTTGTTTTGTTTTGTTTTGAGACGGAGTCTCACTCTGTCACCCAGGCTAGAGTGCAGTGGCACAATCTTGGCTCACTGCAACCTCCACCTCCCAGGTTCAAACAATTCTCCTGCCTCAGCCTCCCGAGTAGCTGGCACTACAGGCGCCTGCCACCACGCCTGGCTAATTATTTTTAGTAGAGACAAGGTTTCACCATGTTGGCCAGGCTGGTCTCGAACTCCTGACCTCAGGTAATCTGCCCGCCTCGGCCTTCCAAAGTGCTGGGATTACAGGTGTAAGCCACCACGCCTGGCCATGTCTCTTGTTTTGAGCACTTGTTCTTCCTTCATTTGTTTGTTCCTTCCCATTGTCTCAACGTTTTTCTTCCTCCACATTAAAATATTCTTTAGGGGCCAGGCACAATGGCTTATGTGCCATGCTGGTGTGCTGCACCCATTAACTCGTCATTTAGCATTAGGTATATCTCCTAAAGCTATCCCTCCCCCCTCCCCAGCCTGACCAATATTGTGAAACCTCGTCTCTACTAAAAATACAAAAATTAGCCAGGTGTGGTGGCGTGTGCCTGTAATCTCAGCTACTCTGGAGGCTGAGAAAGGAGAATTGCCTGAACTCGGGAGGTGGAGGTTGCAGTGAGCCGAGATCACGCCACTGTACTCCAACCTGGACGACAGAGCGAGACTCCATCTCAAAAAAAGAAAAAAAATCTTTTCTGCTTGGAGCTCAGGTTCTAGATCCCCTTCTGAGCCTTCTAATGACATTTTTTCTGTCTCGGTTAAGAGCTGATCAGTAATGTCATTTCCTTCTCAAATCTGACTTTGAGACTTTCTCTCTCTCTCTCTCTCTCTCTATATATATATATACATATATACACACACATATATACATATATATATATGTATGTATCTTCTTTAGGGAAGATTCTCATGAGCAATTCTTTTTGAGGTTTGAGTGACTGCTAGTGAAGTGGATCTTACAGTCTGTAATTAGAAGAGTTGGTACTTGAAATTAGAAATCTAAGTTTTTGGGCTCCAATGCCAGACTGGGTCCTTATCCAGCTATTAAACCCTGTGAGGGGATTTCAGACTTCACAAAAGTGGTTCATTTTCCCGGGACTCTGTCACAGTCAACTTAGGGAATCCCTAACTGTGAAATTTCAGGCTGCTGGGGCTTCATTTAGGTAACAGTGGGCCCTGCAGGAGCTATTGGAATCTCATTGTTGGTTACTGGTTTGCCCAATCAGAAGGCAGGACTTGAGAGACCCTTGATGTTCATAATAATAGTTAATACTCGGGGTTGGGGATTGGCATGTGCCAGGCACCCTCCTTTTACCCTCATTGGAACCCTATAAAGGAACTACTCTCATCAGCCCTTTTTACAGATGACGTAAAAGAAATAGCCACCTAGCCTATGGCCACCTGAGAGCAAGGAATTAATCTGTTGCTGTTTCATCACCTGTGGCATAGACGCTCTGAGCTAATGCCACGCACAACTTATTCCCAGTAGAGGTGAATTTGACTTTAGCAAAATAAAATAAAATGACCAGTTAAAAGCACTGCATCACATACTTTTTCAGTGGGAGGAAACCTTACGCATGTTAATAAAGGAAAAGAGAATATAGTTAGAGCCAGAAAAAAGAAGCCTGCCATCGCATCCCATCGCCTGTCGTGTGAATCATCCACGTGGATCACTGATGCGACTCGAGGGCACGGAAGGGCCCGGGTGGGACTGCACTCACGTGGGGGATGAGGCGGCAGGAGCGGACCGAGTCGCTGAGGCCCATCCACTGCTGGTGGTCGGCATAGTCGCCGCGGCGCAGGAACTACTGGAGGCCCGAGTAGTTGGGCTGCTCATAGAGCACCCAGCAGCCGCTGTCCACGCGCACCGAGTTGCAGCGGCTCAAGTAGGGCTGCAGGTTGGGGTGGTCGCTGCTGCATTCGTAGTGGCGGCCCTGGAAGCCCCGGTCCTCGTAGAGGGTGATCTGCAAGGCAAGGCGAGGCAAGGCGAGGTCTCACAGGCCTGCCCCTGCCCCAGTCTCCGGCCCCCGCCATGCAGGGAGCTACCGGGGGGCACGGGCTGGGCTCACCTTCCCCATGGCTGGCTGGGCGCACGGCGGGGCTGAGCGGGTGGGGCGGCAGCGCGGCGGGGCTATATAGCAGGAGGGCTGCTGTGTTGGCAAGAACCGCACAAAAGGGGCCCCCGGAGGGGAGCAAGGGCATTTTTTTTTCTCTCTCTCTCTGTTCCATATAATGACTGTAGGGGAGGGGGTGGGAGGTTTATTGTATGTTTTCTTTTAGACTCTCTAAAGCTTTCGAATTGATGATCTGGTTAAAACTGTCACTTAGTGCCATTTGGGCCTTTACATAAAGCCTATTTGGGAAATTGGAATTGAGCAAGTGCTTAAGAGTTAGTAATTGTAATTAAATGTTTTATTTACCTTTTAAAAGTTCAGTTTGAGCAACAAAGCAGAATAGCGACCAAGTCTAAGGTCGAAATAGACTACAGCATGAGGCTGTATTGTTTAGATTGGTGTGAAATGTGAAACGTGAGGATGAACTTGCCTTCTCCTCGGGCTGTTTACAGTAGGATGTGATTCTCCTTTAAGAGAACCTCTCTATGATCCTACCTGCTGATAAGCAGGGTATCAGATAACTAATGCAGGAGGTTGGACGCCAGGGGTTGGGCCTGGGGAAGCCCTATTTAGGCACCTGGCCTCAGCTCTGATCCCTGGAGCCTGGGTGGAAGCAGGGAAGTCTTCAGCTTCAGCACCGTGCCTGCCTCAGCACAGGCAATGAAACTCTCAACTGTGGGATTCATGAAGTGACACTTTGGCGGTTATTACACTGGTAACTTTCTATTTAACAACTTTGCTAACTAAAGGCTAAGCTTAGTTGGTTCTAGCTGCTGACAAATGCAAGTTAACATGCAAATATAACACATTGAAGATCCTGCAATCTTGCAAAGATTCTGCCTTCTTCACCCTGGGGCAAAACCCTCGTGGCTCTCTAGTTAAGGCTCTGACTCCAGGGACTGGGGTCTTCCTTCCTTTTGCCGGGACCCTGTCCCTCCTGGTGTTCCACTCTCTTTAGAGCAAGGTTTCTCAACCGCAGCACTCTTTTGACATTTGGGGCCCAAAAAATTATCTGCTGGGTGGGGAGGCTGTCCTGTGCATTGCAGGACATTGAGCAGCATCCTGGCCTCTACCATCTGGGTACCGGTAGCATTACTGTCCGGTCGTGACAAGCAGAACTGTCTGCAGACATTGCCAAAGGTTCCCTGGAAAGCAAATCCACTCCCCATCCGCACTAAGAACCACTGATTTAGAATAACTTTGGTGCACCCAGTCTCACTCCTTAGTTTGGATTCTTGCTACCTAAGTCTAATACTAAAAAATAGCTTTCTCTGGACAAATTTTATGTGATCCACGTAAGTTTAATAAGCCTCATTTACATATTTCTCTTTTAAAAATTATAACTTTTGTGGAAAATTTAGAAACTATAAAGCAGTAGAAAGGAGAAAAGATTTTAAGCCGTAGTTTTGTATAAAAAGTAGCACTGTTGATGTATATTTAAAAACTCCTAATTCTCACACCTGTGATCTAATATTTCCATCTCTAGGAATTTGTCCAATGGAAAAAATTAAAGATGCATACAAAGATTATGAACAGTGATATTTTATCAGAATGGTGTTTATAATATAGAAAATTAGATACAAATAAAATGTCCAGAATAGGGCATTGTTTAAATAAATCATGGAACACTTGTTTGATGAGATGCTATGCAGCTACCAAAAATCATGTTGTCAAAGAATTTATTTAAGGGTATGGAAAATGCTTACCATATGTCAAGTTAAAAAAAAAAACAAGTATATTATACTCTGAAAATTACAAAATATTGAAAGAAATTAAAGAAGACATAAATAAGTGGAAACACATCCTATGTTAATGGATTGGAAGACAATATTGTTAATACATCAGTACTACTCAAAGCAATCTGCAGATTTAGTGCAATCCCTATCAAATCTCAATGATTTCCTTATGCAGAAAGAGAAAAATCTATCCTAAAATTCATCTGGAATCTCAAGGGACCCCAAATCAACAAATTAGTCTTGCAAAAAACAAAGTTGGAAGTTCCTTATTCCTTATTCCTAATAAGGAATGCTGACACATGGCACATATGGAAGAACCTTGAAAACATGTGAAGGGAAATAAATCAGACACAGAGGAACAAATATTGTATGATTCCGTTTATTTGAGGTACCTAGAATAGTCAGTTTCGTAAAGACAGGAAGTGGAATGGCAGTTACCAGGGATTGGGGGAGGTAGGATTGGGGAGTTATGGTTTAATGAATACAGAGTTTCCCTCAAAACTAAAAGTCTTTTAGCACATGTACCACCCCTAGAATTTCTGGTAAACCAGCACCAGCCTGAAGATCACGTTCTCATCAAAGGGTGAAAAAAAAGGAAACTCGAACCAGCCTACGAAGGACCCTTGTGCTGCTAACCACCGAGACTTCTGTTCGTACAGCGAAAAAAGGATGGACTCATCACAACCGAGTCAAGAAAGTGCCACCCTCTCCAGAGTCGTGGGCCATAGTCCCAGGGGAAAACCCTACCAAACTAAGCTAAGAAAAATTTAACTTTTTCATCTATTCTATTACTCTTTCTTCTTTTCTCGCTCTATTACTGACCATCTAGTTATTACCATAACCAAGTCAATTTCACCTCAAACTATTGCATTTAATGCTTTCCTTGTTATACCCTGTGGGTATACCCTGTGGGGACTTGCCAAGTCAAAGACAGCTCTCTACTTCAGAAAAGTACCTCTGTCCCTCCTGACTCTCCTCAGACTGGGCATTAGTAAATTAGGACCATTTAATCTGGGGAAATTTTGATTAAAGACTCCAGTGTCAACCAGGAGTCTTGCCCCTCAATGTAGAGCTTTTATGCCGCAGTTTGTCCAACATTCTGTGGACCACTAAAGAGCAAGGATGGACTGCCCCGACCGGTTTTTGTAATTTCCTAAAATCATATGTTCATTTTACTAGAGGATCATAAAAGTTAAAGACTTAAAACAAACTTTGTCAATTAAGACAGGATACCAAGATGCAAATACCTGGTTGGAATGGATCAAATATTCCATCAGCACGTTAAACAAAAGCAATTGTTATGCTTGTGCGCAGGGCAGGTCAGAGGCCCAGATTGTCCCCTTTCCACTAAGGTGGTCCTCCAGTCGCCCAGGCGTGGACTGCATGGTAGCTCTTTTCCAGGATTCTACAGCCTGGAGTAATAAGTTGTGCCAAGCTCTCTCTGCTATATCCCAAAGTCCAGCACCCTGCAGGTCAGCCCCCAAGGGCCATCCAGTTTCCGTCTCCCAACACTAAGTTCACTTCATGACTCTCACAACAGGGAGGAAACTTAGAGTTCCTTGGAGACCTGAAGGGATGCAGTGAGCTTAAGAATTTTCAAGAGCTTATCAATCAGTCAGCCCTCGTTCATCCCCGAGCGGATGTGTGGTGGTATTGTGGCCGAATAACTGGAGTGGCACTTGTACTTCAGTCCAATTGGCTTGCCTTTCGCCCTGGGATTTTGTCAACCAGAGGGAGGAAAAATAAGACATTGTAAAGCGAGAAAAGCCCCTTATGGGTCTTTCGACTCTCACGTCTATTTAGAAGCAATTGAAGTCCCACGGGGAATACCAGATCAATTTAAAGCTTAAAATCAAATAGCTGCAGGATTTGAGTCAATATTTTGGTGGGTGACGGTTAATAAAAATGTAGATTGGATAAACTACATCTATTACAACCAACAGCAATGAGCTTTTCATGAGTTAAAAGAAAAAACTCATGTTGGCCCCAGCCCTGGGGCTACCTGAACTGGCAAAACCCTTTACACTCTATGTGACAGAAAGAGAAAAAATGGCAGTTGGAGTTTTAACCCAGACTGTGGGGCCCTGGCCAAGGTCAGTGGCCTATCTCTCAAAACAACTGGACAGGGTTTCCAAAGGCTGGCCCCCATGTCTAAGGGCCCTGGCAGCAACGGCCCTGTTAGCACAAGAAGCAGATAAACTAACTCTTGGGCAAAACCTGAATATAAAGGCCCCTCCATGCTGTGGTAACTTTGATGAATACCAAAGGACATCATTGGCTAGCAAATGCTAGATTAACCAAGTGCCAAAGCTTCCTATGTGAAAATCCCCACATAACCATTGAAGTTTGCAACACCCTAAACCCCACCACCTTGCTCCTGGTATCAGAGAGCCCAGCTGAACATAACTGCTACTTGGGCACAAGACAGCTCGTGGGGATACCAGACCCCCATTTACATGCTCAATTGAATCATACGGTTACAAGCTGTCTTAGAAATAATCATTAATAAGACTGACAGAGCCTTGACTATTGTGGCCTGGCAAGAAACTCGGATGAGAAATGCTGTCTATCAAAATAGATTGGCTCTCGACTACTTGCTAGCAGCTAAAGGAGGGGTCTGTGGGAAATTTACCTTACTAATTGCTGTGTACACACAGATGATCAAGGGAAGGTAGTTGAAGACATAGAGATATGACAAAACTGGCACATGTGCCTGTGCAAGTGTGGCATGGATTTGATCCTGGGGCCATGTTTGAAAAATGGTTCTCGGCACTAGGAGAATTTGAAACTCTTATAATAGGAGTTGTGATAGTAATAGGAACGTGCTTACTGCTCCCTTGTTTGTTACCTGTACTTCTTCAAATGATAAAAAGCTTCATCACTACCTTAGTTCACCAAAATGCTTCAGCACAAGTGTACTATATGAATCACTATCGATCTGTCTTGCAAGAAGACACAGGTAATGAAAATAAAAGTGACACTGCCACTAATGAGTGAGGTTCTCAAAGCGGGGAAATAAGGGACGAGACCACCCCTCATATTGTCCTATGCCCAATTTCTGCCCCCAAAGAAAGAATAAGTAAAAACTAAAAGGCAGAAATGAAATCCACAGGCAGACAGCCCGGCGCCACGCCCTGGGCCTGGTTAAAGATCGACCCCTGACCTAACCGGTTCTGTTATCTATAGATTCCAGACATTGTATGGAAAAACATTGTGAAAATCCCTGTCCTGTTCTGTTCCATTCTGATTACCAGTGCATGCAGCCCCCAGTCATGTACTGCCTGCTTGCTCAATCCATCACGACCCTCTCAAGCAGACCCCCTTAGAGTTTTAAGCCCTTAAATGGGACAGGAGTTGCTCACTCGGGGAGCTCGGTTTTTGGAGACGTGAGTCTTGCTGAAGCTCCTGGCTGAATAAAGCCTTTCCTTCTTTAACTTGGTGTCTGAGGGGTTTTGTCTGTGGCTAGTCCTGCTACAGTTTTATTATAATAAATATTGAGTGAGTAGTTTGTGCATAACACTTTTTTTCATGTTTAGGATTTGTTTCTTAGATAGATTCCTAGAAGTATGCTCAAAAGTTAGTTCATATTTCTCCCTCTGCTATTCTTGTGACATTCAACTCCTCATTATCACAAAGGACTGAAGAAGTGTAAATGTTTGCCAATATTTGGTACCATCTGAATTGCCTCCCAAGACAGGATGAATTCCATGGATTATAAACGAGTTAAAGAGTGTCTAAAACAAAGTTTACTTTAAATTTCTTATAGTCAGCCGGGCACAGTGGCTCACATCTGTAATCCCAGCACTTTGGGAGGCCGAGGCAGGTGGGTCACTTGAGGTCAGGAGTTCGAGACCAGCCTGGTCAACATGGTGAAACCTCATCTCTAACTAAAAATACAAAAATTAGCTGGGCGTGGCAGCATATGCCTGTTATTCCAGCTACTGGGGAGGCTGAGGCAGGAGAATCTTGAACCCAGGAGACGGAGGTTGCGGTGAGCTGAGATTGCACCACTGCACTCCCTACCTGTTGTCCTCTCTATCTCAAAAAAAAAAAAAAAAAAAAAAAATTCTGGCCAGGCGTGGTGGCTCACGCTTGTAATCCCAGCACTTTGGGGGGCCGAGGTGAGCGGATCACGAGGTCAAGAGATCAAGACAAACCTGGCTAACACAGTGAAACCCTGTCTCTACTAAAAATACAAAATAAAATTAGCCGGGCGTGGTGGTCGGTGCCTGTAGTCCCAGCTACTCGGGAGGCTGAGGCAGGAGAATGGCGTGAACCCAGGAGGCGGAGCTTGCAGTGAGCAGAGATTGCGCCACTGCACTCCAGCTTGGGCGGCAGAGCAAGACTCCGTCTCAAAAACAAAAACAAAAACAAAAACAAACCTTACAGTTCTCTTACTTTATAAAGAGAAATAAAAGATTATTGAATATAATTGACATCTTAAACAATTTTTTTCTCTATTTGTACCCTTTCCTCCTTGGACTTCATCCTTCTTTCTCCCTTTATTCAGTTCGTTCTGATTTCCCTATAACACCAAAGGTCACACTCAAGAATGGGATAATATTTTAAGGTTCTCTTCAATCCTGGGAATTTGTGCTCTGGACACAATTGTGTTATAGGCTAAGACTGCTATTGTGTTTCTTCATTCACCCTTTCTTGTCTATTGCCCCAGTTGCAGCTAATAGATTCTATGGTTACCAGGGATACCAGCTTTAGGATGACGCAGATGCTAAATGCCGCGGGAGTCAGAGAAAACCTGGGGTCCTGATGATGTTGTTGAGCTGCTGAATCAACCATCCCTAAACCCTATGCTCCCAAGACTTCTTGTCATGTGAGCTAGTAGATTTCCATCTTGCTTATCTATTTAATATGAAGTTGCTGCTACTTTCAGTCTAAAGCATTAAGTCAGATCCATTTCTGGCTGTGGGATTAGGATGAATTTTGATCTGGTTAAAGGCTGAGTAACTCACCAGGGAGAAGGTGCATAAGAGAAATCCTGGTGAGGAAAAGATATAAGTAAGGGCAAAGAGATGTGAAAGTGTTTGGTGTGCTTGGAGGACTCAGGTGAGATGGGAAGGAAGGACAGCTGAGGTCAGGAAATAGGAGATGAGGTAGATAGGCTGGGGGTCAGGATCCCAGGAATTTGAATGTTTTCCTATGGGAAGTGAAGGAACATCAAAGGTTTTTAATCAGAGAAACGACATGATCAGATTAGCCTCTAAGCACTTACATAGTGACTCCTCCTTTCTAAAATTCTAGCAATGAGAGTACAAATAAGACAGAATAAGAGGTAGGAAAAGAACCAATGTAAGTGAATATATTGTAGGACAGCCTTATACATAGTATATTGACACACACAAACGTACATTGGATGAGGTTATATAAATATATATAACTGTATGTGTGTGCCCATGTGTATTCAGAGAATGCAGCTTTGGATTATTCAATATTTTTAATTCAATTCCTGGTTGGTTGTTTGCAACGACCTCATGGTAAGAATCTATGATTTAGTGTTGTCATTACTTTCACAAAATTTCACAATAGATTTTATAAAATCTTCCTGATTTTTTTTTTTTTTTTGAGACGGGGTCTCGCTCTGTCGCCCAGACTGGAGTGCAGTGGTGTGATCTCAGCTCACTGCAACCTCCACCTCCTGAGCTCAAGCAGTTCTCCTGCCTCAGCCTCCTAAGTAGCTGGGATTACAGGCACCTGCCACCACGCCCAGCTAATTTTTGTATTTTTAGTAGAGACGGGGTTTTACCATGTTGCCCAGGCTGGTCTCAAACTCCTGATCTAAGGTGATCCGCCCACCTCGGCCTCCCAAAGTGCTGGGATTACAGGTGTGAGCCACCACACCTGGCCAAAATCTTCCTGATTTCATAATAGAAAACCAGCAGTTTCTGAGCTGTGATTCTGGCTTCTGATTCCACCTCTGTTATTGGTGTGACCTTGGAATTAGACCTCAGTTTACTGTACATAAAATGAGTTATCTAGGTTAGATGATCTACGGATTTAAAATATAT
Source organism: Homo sapiens (assembly GCF_000001405.40). Classification (NCBI taxonomy): domain Eukaryota; kingdom Metazoa; phylum Chordata; class Mammalia; order Primates; family Hominidae; genus Homo; species Homo sapiens. The sequence goes on from NW_018654710.1 coordinate 118,712, forward strand.
TAACCATCTTATCTTATAACTACAATGTTCTGTAATGGCCCCTCTCTGTGCCTCTCTCTCCCCCTCCTTCCCTTTCTTTCTTTTTCTCTCCTCCCCTTTTTTTTTTTTCAACTTTTATTTTAGGCTCGGGGTACATGTGCATGTTTGCTATGTAGGTAAACTTGTGTCACGGGGGTTTGTTGTACAGGTTATTTCATCACCCAGCTACTAGGCCTAGTATCCAATAGTTATTTCTTCTGATTCTCTCCCTCCTCCCACCCTCCACCCTCCAACAGGTCCAGTGTCTGTTGTTCCCTTCTTTGTGTCCACGTGTGTGTTCTCCCGTCTTTTTTCTTTGTTTTTTTTTTTAATTTTAAAATTAAGAATGTCTCTAAATAAAATTCTATACAGTTACCTAAGGAAAATTCACATATACTCTACATCAGCTAGAAATGTGTGTTGAACTGCAGATAACAGAATACCCAGCTATAGGGGCTTAAACAAAATGTGGTTTATTTGACTGCCATTACAAGAAGTCTGAAGGTAAAAGGTTGTTAGCATGGTCCAGGGGCTCAGCCACATCTAGGCCAACATTTCTGAAATTCTCCTGGCCTTTCTCTCACAGCTGTCATTTCTTGAGTGTAAGAAATAAGAGGGAACTTTGGCATCAGGGTCATCTGCTCTCTTTCATTAGAAAGGCACAAGTTTTTCCAGAACCATCTCTTCTCCCTCCCTATCATCATTTCTCACTTCTGATTCGATGGCCAGAGGAAGGCCACATGACCACCTCTGTAGTAAGGGAGTCGGACAGAGATTTGTGAACTCAACTTTTGCATACAATTTTAGAGAATTCAAAAATGGACGCGCGTTATGGTACCCAGGTTCAGAATCCCTGATTGAAAAAGTGGGTCACACTATCTGAACCTACGTTTTCAGGTCCTCACTCCTCAAAGAAAAACTGAAATCTAAACAGATTTCTGATAATCTGGTTTGAAGCAGCAAGCTGTTTAAAGGCCAGAGAATCAAATGAGATAATGAATTATGAAACTTTTGCAAACTGTTAAGTTCTACTTAATATGAAGACGTCATTCTGTTGTGAGAACTTCCTTTGTTATCTATGTATTACACATCTTGGTTGCCATTTGCCTCGTGTGTGTAAATAAAATAAGATAGAAGTAGGGCAAAGTAAAGAAAGACACAAGCAAATCAGTGCCAGGAACACACAGAAAATATTTTATTAGTTTCCAAATTAAGAAACAACAAAAGAGGACATATTTCAGGAGAAATCTATGACTCTCCTCAGAGAGCCCACTCTGGCATTCGTGGCCCCCCAGTCCTGGTAGCGCCTATAGTCCCCTGGCATCAGCAGGTACTGCCGTCCTCGGTAGTTGGACAGCTCGTAGAGGACCCAGGAGCCCTCCAGCACGTTGAGGGAGTGGATTTCATTGAAGCGGAAGCGGTCCTGAAGACAGGAGCAGTCCTCAGTGAACTCTATCATCTGGCCTCTGTAGTCCTCTCTCTCATAGAGTCTGATCCTGTGAGAGCCAGACTGGCGGACCCAGAAATAAAAAGAGAAGAAAAGCAAGTGTGAAATGATTCCAATGCATTGTTAGGCAGTCCAGCTTGGTGAGGACCCGCTCAAGCCATTTTGAAATACATGGTAAAATTTAATTAATTCTGAATATTTATAAACTCCTCATTACCGAGCACAGAGATTCAGTACCTTTTCAAGATTATGAAGTGTGGTGAAGAAATTGAGAAGGAAATCTCACTCTTTAATATATTCAGCTATTTCTTAGGATGAGCTGCCTCCTAGGCTCAGTATCCTGTACCACATGCAAATCCAAACCTGTAACAGCTTATTACTATTTTATACCATTTTGAAGAAATGTTTTAATATTAAAATAAACATTAAATTATAAAGAAATATATTTAAATAATGTATAATTTTAATATACATATGATATCTAATACATATTTAATTATATACTATATTTAAAATATATTATAAAATGTATAAAATTATATTTTATTTAAAGTTAATCATATTTTATTTTAATAATTATATTCAAATTATATTTTATAAGTATAAATTAAAATTATATTTATTTTACAAATTATATTTTATTTTAAAATAACTTTACTAAAATATAAATAAAATATATTTAAAATACAGAAATATAAGGGGTGGGGCAGTGGCTCATGCCTGTAGTCCCAGCACCCTGGGAAGCCGAGGCAGGTGGATCACTTGAGGTCAGGAGTTCAAGACCAGCCTGACGAATATGGCGAAACCTTGTCTATACTAAAAATACAAAAATTAGCCAGGTGTGGTGGCGGGTGCCTGTAATCCCAGCTACTTGGGAAGAAAATTGCTAGGGCCCAGGAAGCAGAGGTTGCAGTGTGCCGAGATCATGCCACTGCACTCCAGCGTGGGGAACAGAGCAAGACTTCGTCAAAAAAAATAATAATAATAAATAATAAAATAAAATAAAATAAAAATAAAAATACAAAAATTAGCTGGGTGTGGTGGCGTGCTCCTGTAACTCCAGCTACTCAGGAGACTGAGAGACGAGAATCATTTGAATCCAGGAGGCGGAGGTTGCAGTGAGCCGAGATTGCACCACTGCACTCCAGCCTGGGCGTCAGAGTGAGACTCTGTTTCAAAAAACAAAAACAAAACAACAACAACAAAAATATATATATACACACATATAATGTAAATGAAATATATTAAAAATATATTAAAATATATTTAAAATATGTTAAATATATTTAAAATATAATATAATTTATGTAGTTATATAAATATATTAAATACATATTTATTAAATAAATATATTATTAAATACATTATATTCATTAAATATATTTAATGTAAATATATTTAAAATATAAAAATATGTATTTTAAATATAAGTATTTAAAATATATTAAATATATCATTTAATATATTGAATTAAATGATAATGCATCATTTAAATCAATGACATAAATAAAATATGTTAAATATATAAGCCTTCTATTCAAAATATAAGTGTTTTAAATATATTAAAATATAAATATTTAAAATATATTAAAATATAAAATGTTAAATATCTTCATATATTAAAGAACAATTAATTCTAAGTCAATAACTTGTGAATGCAATGAAGAAAAATGGAGGAAGAAACATCAGTAAGTCCAAGGACGAATTTTGCATAAACTTTAGTGTTCTAACACACATATGGGATAAAAGGGACACATGTGTAAAATATGTGTGTTGCTCTCCTTTGAAGGAAAGTCTTACTTATATAGGTTGGGAAAACCCAAAATATGCAAGAGAGGAGCAAAAACGGGAAAAAGTCTCAAAAGAAATTACCCTGTTTGCTCAGTAACTGCTGTACGCTCTAGCATTTATTCTTCTATTGGGTATTAGTGGTTTTTCTACAACTCCATTCTAAATGATTCCAGAATAGGACTTAAGTCTTATACAACCCCTAGGGCAGGAGACACATTCCTACTCAATACATATTTGTGGATTAATTGTGATTAACTGGTGTCTGGGTAATACTTTGCTTATGTGGGGAGCAAACTCTATTGACTTAATCCACTATAGTTCATCTTTTGTCCACTCTCAGTTATTGTGACTGATCACTACTTCTAATGTTTAACTTTTGCTTGAAACCATCCAGTGAGTGTCCTGAGGGCCTGGGTCCTGACTTGAGGATGTACTCACGTGGGGGATGAGGCGGCAGGAGCGGACCGAGTCGCTGAGGCCCATCCACTGCTGGTGGTCGGCATAGTCGCCGCGGCGCAGGAAGTACTGGAGGCCCGAGTAGTTGGGCTGCTCATAGAGCATCCAGCAGCCGCTGTCCACGCGCGCCGAGTTGCAGCGGCTCAAGTAGGGCTGCAGGTTGGGGTGGTCGCTGCTGCATTCATAGTGGCGGCCCTGGAAGCCCCGGTCCTCGTAGAGGGTGATCTGCAAGGCAAGGCGGGACAAGGCGAGGTCTCACAGGCCTGCTCCTGCCCCAGTCTCTGGCCCCCGCGATGGAGGAAGCTCCGGGGTCCCGGGGCGCAGGCTGGGCTCACCTTCCCCATGGCTGGCTGGGCGCACGGCGGTGCTGAGCTGGTGGGGCGGCGGCGCTGAGCGGGTGGGGCTGCGGCGCGGCGGGCTATATAGCAGGAGGGCTGCTGCGTTGGCAAGAACCGCACAAAAGGGGCCCCCGGAGGGGAGCAAGGGCATTTTCGTGTTCTCTTTTTTTCTCTTTGCTGTGCTAGACCACGGGGCTTGTTGTGGGTTTTGGTCGCATTCTCTCTGGAGTATTCGGATTGCTATCACTGGCTGATGCTATTGAGAATGTTTGTAAAACGGCAATTTGGGACATTGTCTATTTATAATGGAAGTGGAGCTTCAGCTATTTCACATATAGTTCACGCTTTTATTCGTATAGATTGGGGAAAAACAAAAAAAATTTAAGTCGGGGAGCAAAAAAAGCAACGACTCTTAATAAGGCAAATATAAATTAATCTGTCAGAACTACAGTATTACTTACGTGCCACAATATTGAATACTGATTGTTAATAGGAAGGAAATGGGCTTAACTGAATGTTGAAAATTTCAAGTTAGTCCTTTAAGAGAACGTCATCATGAAAGGGTGTAAGAAATTGGAACATTTTATTAAGAGAGTTCACAGAATTTCGAACTTTTATTATGGTAAAACACACAGCAAACGTGAATCTTCAATATTGGGTCTGATTTTGTTGCAATTATGCCTGGAAGTAGCTGAGAATTAGATGTTTTTCTCTTAGCTAAAGGTGGTGCCGTGATTCAAAAGAGAGAATAGTTCTAAGATGCTTAATCTCAGAAAGAACTAAAAAGGGAAATATCTAAGTTTGAGGAAATTAGAAAAAGTAATATGTTTGAAACACAAAAACATGATCTCTTAGCTTGTTATAAAATAAAACCAAATTCCTAAGAAACTTATTTCTGGTAGGATCTAGAATACACCTTTGCCCTCTGAACGAGCGAGAGTACACAAGGCCTTTGACTCAGACGAAATTAATTGCATGAACACAAAGGGGAGCTATGGCTGGAATGATGCAGGGAGAGGAAGGAATAAAAATCTAGAAGTTGGACTCGAGGAAGACTTCAGAAAGTACTTATTGGCCTGGAAGAGAGCAGTTTGATGGACTGGGAAGAGTACTGGAGTGGAATATGACCTATGTGTCCAGCTTCTTTCATGTTCAAAGAATTGCTTACAGCCCTGTGTCAACCCATGGAAGTACTTTGTCTTGTCTTTGAGTCATAAATCTTTGTAAGTGGTATTTATGAATTAAACACCAACTATGTGCAATACAAATTATTTTAATTCTTATTTTCTGGCTGCTTTTTTTTTTTTGTATTCTTTCTATATAGAGCTCTACGGTGGTAGGGAAATACCTTTTTCTTTTGTTTTGTTTTGATTGTTTTCTTCATCCCCATTGCTACATATAGCAGGCGTATGGTAGGTGCTCAAAAATTGGTAAGGATCCTAACTCAAGGAAGTTAAGAGTCTCTAGTGGCTAATAATTGGAGGCTATTGAAATGGAAAATAAACTTGTGGCTGGGTGTGGTGGCTCACACCTGTAATCCCAGCACTTTCGGAGGCCAAGGTGGGAGGGTCACTTGAGCCCAGGAGTTCGAGACCAGCCCTGGCAACATAGTGAGACCCCTTCTCTACAAAAAAGTGAAAAAATTAGTCAGGCATGGTGGTGCGCGCCTGTAGCCCCAGCTACTTAGGAGGCTGAGATGGGAGGATCGCTTGAGCCTGTGAGGTCGAGGCTGCAGTGAGCTGGGTTTGTGCCACTGCACTCCATCCTGGACAACAGAGTGTGACCATGTCTCAAAAAATAAATAAATAAAATAAAATAAACTTGCACTATGAGCCGGTAGTCTCACTTCTAGGTCGCTATCTTTTTAAAATTATGGCATGTCAGGATTAGCGTATATGTACAATGTTATTCTTTGCAGCATTGTTGGTAAAAGCAACATTGGAAAAGCCCAGTCACTTAAGTGGACAAATGGTGAAATGGTCTAAGGGACCTCCAAACAATGGGATGCAATTCAACCATCAAACAGAATAAGATACTGACCTAGATATATGTCCATATTATAATACATTTTAAAAGCAAGTTGCAGACTAATATGTATAGCATGATTCCATTTTTGTAAAGAAAAGAAGCATGTGTTTTATAAGAGAGCTATATAAACAAGGAGAAAATCCCAGAAGGGTGCCCACCAACTATAAACAAGAGTTAGCAATGAGGGGCGTCAGAAGGACTCCCCTCAACTTCTTTATAGAATTTGTACAGTAGTAAGATTATGGGAGGCCTTTTACTTTGAAGGGAAATTTTTAAGTTAAAATAAATAAATTCTCTGCTGATGAAAAGACTCGTAATTGCTTTCTTTTTTTTTTTTTATTTTTACTTTTTAGGGCTTTGCTTATGAGCAAGCAGATTTTAGTTTAATAAAAGGCTCCAGAAATTATGGCTTCTTTAAAGCACCTTTAAATTTGAGCCCATTTTGTAATTACAGGACTTACGTATTTGTTTATTTAAACTTTTATTTTAGATTTAGGGGCACGTATCCAGGTTTGTAATACAGGTAAATTGCATGTTGTGAAGGTTTGGTGTACAGATTATTTTATCACCCAGGTGATAAGTATAGTACCTGACAGGTAGTTTTTTGATCCTCTCCAACCGCCCACCCTGCAACCTCAAGCAGGCCCCAGTGTCTCTTGTTTTCTTCTTGTCCACATGTACTCAAAGTTTAGCTCCCACTTAGAAGCGAGAACATGAGGTATTTTGTTTTCTGTTCCTGTGTTAGTTTGCTTAGGATAATGGCCTCCAGCTCCATCTATGTTGCTGCAAAGGACAGGGTCTCATTCTTTTTTATGGCTGCATAGTATTCCATTGTATATATGTACCACTTTGTAAAATCCAGCCTACCATTGATGGGCATTTAGGTTGATTCCATGTCTTTGCTGTCATGAATAGTGCTGTGATAAACATATGCATACATGCGTCCTTATGCCAGAACGATGTTTTTTGTAGTTATTTTTTATGTTTGGGGTACACTATACCATGAAAATCTATTTAAAAGATTGATGTGTATCTCTTAATATTAATTTATTTGCAATAGCTGGTCACCATGAAACTGATGTGCAGTTTCTATAATTGACACAGCATTTGGGCCAGGGGTAGTACCGACCAAGAGCTACACTTCTGGACAGGAGTCATTTTCAAAAGAAGATGAATAGTCTTTAACTTTGTTCAAAGGTACGGCAATGGCTGCGGTGGCCCTGGCATTAGTTATATAATACTGTGTCTGAAAGTAAACAAAACTACAATCCTTTATATAGTCTAATCAGGCTGTTGGCCAAGTTAAGTTTGCCCTCTCCACTCATCTGACTTTGCCTTTTGTCTAACCCATTTTTGGTTAGAAGGAAACTTCCCAACTATTGTTCCTCAAGGTGCTTAGTTGAATGCCTCCCTTCTCACCAGTCAGCCTCTCCCAGGTCTCTGGCATTGCCCTGCGTTTTCTTTCTCGGGCAGGCTACACCCTGCCTCCACCCCAACGTCTGAGGCTTGTTCAAACTCACTCTACCTTGAAGCTCTTCTCCAATAGACCCCGTCCCCCACCCCATTCACTTCTTAACTTTTGACAAGGAGCATTTAAAGGTGAACTGATTTGCACAATGAAAGAATGACAGAAGTCAGCAATTGCCAGCAATGCAGACTAAATATTTATTAGGTTCCAAAATGGGAAATTGGTAGTGTTAAGCTATTTTAATACAAATCCACCACTCTCCGCAAAGAGCCTGCCTTAGCATCCATGGCCCCCCAGTCCTGGCACCGCCTGTACTCTTGGGGCCTCAGCAGGTATTGCCGCCCCCGGTAGTTGGGCAGCTCGTAGAGGACCCAGCAGCCCTCCAGCACGTGGAGGGAACGGATCTCGCTGAGGTGGAAGCGGTCCTGGATGCTGGGGCAGTCTTCACTCAGCTCCATCATGAGGCCTTTGTGGTCTTCCCTCTCGTACAGCCGCAGCCTGTGGGAGACTGTCTACTCGGTCCACAGAAAGAAGGATGGAAAAAAGCAAATGAGTCTCTTCCAGAATTTGTCCAACCAAAGAACAGATGAACTTGGTAGGTTGTGGCATGGAATTGTCATTGTAAAATTTAGACAGTGTAAAATGTAGATTACTGTGGTTGCTGCGCATGGATCTGTCTTCCACTAGCACCTAAATACTGGCACGCTCATTTTCTATTTGACCTGAAATTCATTCTTATTTAGGAGATGGAATTTTTAAGAGGTTCAAACTCTGAGTTAGAATCCATCAAGAACTGAGATATCTTGATTCCTAATTACCTGTGTTAATTCAAACTACATTTGGGGGGAAAAATAGAAATAATTTATTTTCACTAGTATTCTTTTAGTAAGGGTATTATCTCCCAAATTTACAAACATATAAATTTACCACTAAAGTAAGATTTAAAAAATCTTGTACTTCAGTGTAAAGTTAAATAGTCATTTGGAATGAGAATTTAACTGATTTTCCAAATTAAGAAAAATTACCTTTTCCAAAGTTGGACACAACCTTTGAATAGCCTATATTAACAATACAGCTTTGAAGGTTTACTAGTCCATGGTGGAATCTATCTAATTCATTCATTAGAAATTCTTTTACTATAGACAAAATAATTTGTTAAAAATACCGTCTTTTTATGCCCAACCAGCTTCCCATTTGCAAGTTTTGTTTTATATCCCATTATGATATTACATTTGTTACAGACCTCTTTTAATTGACTTATTGGTAGCAAAAATTTCAAGTAAAACGGATTCTTCCTCTAAGTGGGTTCTTCCTTACATTCTCTGCTGTTTTTGTGCATGTTATCTATCTGGCTTATTCAGGTCTCTGATGTCCATCTAACCCTTAGGTGTTTTTAAATGCAAACCTCCCTCCCTGTAACCCACATTGACAATACAGTGGGGACTCTGGCGGCATGATGGAAATCTAGAAAACTCACTTGGGGGATGAGACAACAGGAGCGGATGGAGTCGCTGAGGCCCATCCATTGCTGGTAGTCGGGGTACTCCCCTCGCCGCAGCAAGTATTGTTGACCTTGGTAGTTGGGACGCTCATAGAGCATCCAGCAGCCGCTCTCCACCCGGATGGAGTTGCAGCGGCTGAAATACGGCTGCAGGTTGGGGCAGTCAGTGGTGGTTTCGTAGCTGCGGCCCTGGAAGGCCCTGTCCTCATAGAAGGTGATCTGCAAAGGAAGAATCGTTCCGAATTACATTATTTGCTCCTAACAGGCATTATATAAAGGCAACTTTTTTTTCATTTTATTTAATTTGTGTTCTGCTCACCTTCCCCATGGCTGGTTGACACGGATGATGCGAGTTCAGTGTGATGGGGCCTGCGGCTGCACAGCCAGTCTATATAGCAGGATGGCTGCTGCGTTGGCAAGAACAACACAAAAGGGGCCCTCAGCGGTAAGGGGATTTTATGCATCTCTTTAACATCCTGCATTCACTGGAAATGATTGTAGATTGTGTCCTTGTTCTCTGGTATATTCTAACGCTGTCCTGTACATACTGCTCTGTGTTGCTTTTATTTGGATTGTTAGTGTTTTCTAAATTTATCTGTGCATCAGTCTGAACTTTTGACCTGAAATTCGTGGCTCTGTCTATATGATTGAATTATTCCCTGTGAATTTTCTGGGAAAGATCTATGCCATTATAGAATTGCTCCAGGATTCCAGAGAGGTTGCTGAGGTAGAATGCCACAAGCACTGACTCATTTCCCTGGATGGCAGAGACTGCTCTACCTTACATTTTTGTCTTTACACAATTTTCCAGTCCAGGGCCGGACACAAATCTAGATTCTTATCTTGGCTAGTTTTGACTTCGTTAACCCAATGCTTTAAGACAGCTTTTAACTATGCCTTTCGTGGGCACGTCGTCTAACTAGAGATCAGTCCCTGGTAGTGAACTTACGATAACAAGCAAGGGAAAGGTTTCTATGGTCACTGGGCCCAAGACTGAGAAGTACCGTATACTACTTTATAGATTGCTTTCCCTTTTTCAAGCGTGAGGGAGGCCATAAAGCTTCACGGGCAAGAGTGTGAGCTTTGGACTCAGGCCGCCTGTACTCAGAAGGCCCACTGATTAGCTCCATGGCAAATTATATAACCACTCAGAGCAGGAGTTATCTCATGGACTATAGTCTGATTAATGAGAAAAAAAGTGAGAAAAAAGAGTAGCCTCTGACATTCAGATGCTGGCGTGGCACTCGCAGTGAGGACATGTTACTCCGCTATTAGACATAAACAGTCTCACAGAATAACAACTTCAGACAAGGCTACTCCGAGACCAGGATGAAATGAGATAAAATAAATCCACTTCTTAACTTTGCCTAAGCGCAGACAAAAACAAAGTCAATGCTCCACTCTCAAAATCCCAAGCCCTCACTCTCTCAGCCAAAATGATTAACTGCCACTTCTTTATGGATTACAGGTTTATCCGTGTTCTAGTCTCCCCTCCCTACGGGTAAGATTTCTTGAGATAACTAATCACAAAATTAACCCTGCTTTCTGCTAACATCTAATCTGGAGTGAACTCCAACTTTTTTAGCTCCTTCCCCAAATCGCACAACTGAAGTGCAAATCCTATAACAATTTCTTTCTAAGCTCTCTTACTGAGACACTCCATGCTTCCCCAAGGAGCATGTCCTCCCTTGCTGCAACAAGTAATAAGCTCAACTTGTTTAAAGACAGGTGTGTCCCTGGTGGTCTTTAGCTAAAGGACATTGACATGAATAAGTGGGATTATGTGTATAAGGCATTTGGCACATACTTGGCACAAATGAACACTGAATAAATGTTGTTATTAGTAATAGAGTGACATTGTTAAGGCTGACTTCATCCTGTTTATCCCTCTCAAAGATATTTAATCCTCTCAAAGATTCCTGAAAAAATTTATCCTCTATGAAGCCATTTTGTGATTAAAGAAAAATTAGGCTTGGAAGGGACTTTCGAAACCATCGGGTGGTTTTCAAACTCCAGTGTGCCTAAGAATCACCTTGCTTATTAAAAATGCAAATTACCATCTTGATCTTTTGGCTAAATCCTGCATCATTAGATCAGGAGAAGACCTCAGAACCTACATTTTTATTTTTTATTTTATTTATTTTATTTTATTTTTTGAGATGGAGCCTTGCTCTGTTACCCAGGCTGGAGTGCAGTGGTGCGATCTCAGCTCACTGCAACCTCTGCCTCCCGGGTTCAAGTGATTCTTCTGTCTCAGCTTCCTGAGTAGCTGAGATTATAGGCGCGGGTCACCATGCCCGGCTAATTTTTGTATTTTTATTGGAGACAGGGTTTTGCTATGTTGGCCATGATGGTCTCGAATTTCTGACCTCAGGTGATCCACTCACCTCGGTCTCCCAAAGTGCTGGGATTACAGGCATGAGCCACCACGCCCAGCCCAGAACCTACATTTTTAATAAGCACCAAATAGTTCTTGGGCCAAAACACTGCTGTGGTTTATCCCTTCATGTTTTGACAAGGAAATCATGTATTTTAGCCATCCCTAGGCAATGCCTTATTAGGAATTGTACTAGCATTCTCTTAATTCTATTTATTTATTTTTTGAGATAGAGTTCTGCTCTGTTGTCCAGGCTAGAGTGCAGGGACACAATCTCAGCTCACTGCAGTTTCTGCCTCCCACGCTCAAGCTCAAGCTCCCACCTCAGTCTCTTGAGTAGCTGGGACTGCAGGTGCATGCCACCATGCCCAGCTAATGTTTTGTATTTTCTTTATGTAGAGACAGGGTCTCACTATGTCGCCCAGTCTGGTCTTGATCTCCTCAAGCAATCCATTTTCCTCTGCCTCCCAAAGTGCTGGGATGACAGGCGTGAGTCACTGTGCCCTGCCTAACATTCTCGTTAGACTTAAAGGCAGATGTGCTCTCTGTTTTGTAGCACTCTTTTTTTTTTTTTTTGAGACGGAGTCTCGCTCTGTCGCCCAGGCTGGAGTGCCATGGCGTGATCTCAGCTCACTGCAACCTCCGCCTCCTGGGTTCAAGCAGTTCTCCTGCCTCAGCCTCCTGAGTAGCTGGGACTGCAGGCGCCCACCACCACGCCTGGTTAATTTTTTTTTTTTTTTTGTATTTTTAGTAGGGACAGGGTTTCACCGTGTTAGCCAGGATGGTCTCGATCTCCTGACCTCGTGATCTGCCCACCTCGGCCTCCCAAAGTGCTAGGATTACAGGCATGAGTCACCGCGCCTGGCCAGCACTCTTTCTTGTTCTATAAAGTTTCATATGTACACAGTGAGAGAATCGGAGCAGAGATACCAGCACTTAAATTAGAGCACTGGTAAGAAGACAGGAAAAGCAATAAAGGGGCCAGAAAGTGCATATTACAGAACATCGCTCTTGTTCCATAATGGCGTAGTCTTGTATTTCTCTAACCTTTTTTCAAATCTTTCTCCTTCTCTCCTCTGCCCCAACCACCTCCCACCCCCAAACCCCTGCCATTGTAGCTGCCTTACATAGGGTCTTATCATATCTCAGCTGGACTTTCAACAGCCTCCTGACTCTGCCCAGTGTTGTCTTCCTCCAAGCTGCACTCAGACAGATGCTGGAGTGATGAGAATCAAAACACATCAAATCATGCTGTTCATTTGCTTGAAAAATTTCATGGACTCCCATTGTCTCCAGGATCCAATATTGATCCCTTAGCGCGGCATCCTAGACCTGGCCTCCGCTGTCTGTCCCCACGCTTTCTGATTGATCACGCCGAACCGCTTGTCATTTCCCAAATGCACAATGTTATTTCATGTTGTTCTTGTTTTTCAACATATTGATCCTTCTCAATGAGACACCAGTTTATTTTTCAACCAGAGAAATTTTACCCTTTCTTCAAGTCTCAGCTCAAGCGTCAGTTTGTCTGTAAAAGATTTTCCTGAACCCTTCCTAATCTTCTGGGCTGAATTAAATACTGCCTCCGTGGCTCCTCATGTTCATACCACTATAAGGGTAACTATCACTTATCTAATTATTTTGTTTAGACATCAGTCCCTCAAAATAGATGGGAGAGCCCCATAAAGGCAGAGTCTATTCCATCTTTATTTTTGTGTTCTCACTAATTGGCTTAGAGGACTGGCACATAAAGGTTACTCAATAAATGCCCGGGAGGGGGGATGTGTGAATGTTATTCCTTGTCTGAAATTTATTATTATAATGGTCTATGGAGCCTGTTTCAAATGTTCAATATACACAGGCATAACACACTCACATTGAAGTTCAGGATGTGCAACTTTCGGTGTGTAGGATGACACAGGCACCCTGCACTTGATCGATTTAATGGGGCTTTTTTTTTTTTTTTTGAGGCGGAGTCTCGCTGTGTCGCCCAGGCTGGAGTGCAGTGGCGCAATCTCAGTTCACTGCAAGCTCCGCCTCCAGGGTTCACGCCATTCTCCTGCCTCAGCCTCTCCGAGTAGCTGGGACTACAGGCGCCCGCCACCACGCCCGGCTAATTTTTTGTATTTTTAGTAGAGACGAGGTTTCACCATGGTCTCGATCTCCTGACCTTGTGATCCGCCCGCCTCGGCCTCCCAAAGTGCTGGGATTACAAGAGTGAGCCACTGTGCCAGGCCTTCTTTTTTTTTTTTTGAGATGAAATCTTGCTCTTGTCACCCAGGCTGGAGTGCAGTGGTGCGATCTTGGCTCACTGCAACCTCTGCCTCCTGGGTTCAAGAGATTCTCCTGCCTCAGCCTCCCGAGTAGCTGGGATTACAGGCGCCTGCCACCACGCCCAGCTAATTTTTGTACCTTTAGTAGAGTCAGGGTTTCACCATGTTGGCCAGGCTGGTCTTGAACTCCTGACCTCAGGGGATCTGCCCACCTCGGCCTCCCAAAGTGCTGGAATTACAGGTGTTAGCCACCACACCCAGCCATAATGGGCCTTTATAACAGTGGAGATAATAAGCAAAAGGGAAAAACCAGGAATGCTGTGTTGTGCCCTAAGTCCTCCCACTCCTTAGTAATTCTAATTTTTATTTCTTCTGAGATGAGAAATTAATGTTACAACAGCGGTAGCCAATTCTAGAGTTTTGCTGGTGTCTGAGGTCCAGCCAGCAGTTGATTTTACCACCCACCTTCCTGCTTCTTAGCAATTAATATACGGTGGTATCCTATGCAGTCATGCATCTCTTTTTTATATGATTGCAATTTTAATTTTAAAAAATGGGAAAAAATAGTACCCTTGCAAATAAAAAGGCAATTCTACAAATTAATATAAAATTCACTGGGGAATTCTAAAGCGAAGGCCAAGAGTTCCCTCGAGGACATGGGAAAGGCATCATGCTGGGGTTTTTGTGTGGTGCTTTGCCAGTCGGCACCCCCTCAGCAAGCCCTTCCTGAAGGGCTTATTGCCCTGGTTTTGAGAAGTCTATCTAAATAAAATACAGCAAACTCTGCCCTCACCCCAGGGAACTGGTCCCTTCATGCTTCTAGAAGAATTGAGATTAGCTTGTCCAATCTACTCTCTAGTCATCTTCCTACTTGCAGGCTGCTAGGGGCCACAAGTAGAAAGGGGAGGAACAAGCAAGGGCAGAGACAGGAAGCTGGTTTTCCTTGAGGCCTCATGTGGTCACCTTACAACAAACACTGCAAGGCTTTATGAGCTAAATGTCAACTCACACACAGATCAGGTGCCTGCCCTGAGCTTCTCTGAGCCTTTCTGCCCCGCTCCATCACTCGTCAGTGAGTCTGAGGTTGAATGCAAACACTCATGGAGCAGAGATCAGCTAGAAGCAACGTGAAAACCACGAGGGTTTAAAGTATGGTGTATGCTGGCACCAGCTTAAGGTGGCATTCCCCACCCACGCTTCCCCCTCCACTTCAGAAGGCTGCACCTCCTGTATTACAGGGATTAGGGCTCTTGTAACTCAATCAATAAAGCCTCTGCTCTATGGCCACTGGGGCCATTGTCTTCTGACGTAGCCTGGCCAGGAGCCCCGTTGTCGGCAGAAGGGAGTTCACTCCTCCTCTGCTTTCATACCAGTGTATCCAATTTCCTTGACAAACTCCACTTTATCAGTTATTCTGCCATTTGGAAAGTTTTACACACTTGGAAGATGTTGCCAATGACATCTTCTGGTGAGTAGCCCAGATGCCATAGGTGAGCAGGAATCTTGTAGGTTTCCTTGACATGGGCATTCACACAGTGCTGGATCATCTCCTTCATGAGCAGGGGGTGGGGCTCGTCGCAGACCCTGAACATACTTCTCGCTGTAACTGAAGCCAGATCCTGGGAAGATGGACTGCAAGTTGTTCAGGGCCTGTCTCATGTCTCCCTGACCCATGAGGATGATGGCTTCTAGGCCAAAGTCAGTGTACAGAACTGTACCCTTCTCTCTAGCATTCATTGGCCTCACACTGGTCCGGGCATCGGTCAGCTTTGTGTAGCGGAGGACTATGCACTGGGATCCAGTGGCCTCTGAACAGAGACGGGAAGGCAGTGAGGTTTCCCTCAGAGGCTGGCATCACCCTATTAGTGCTTTGATTACGAGGATGCAGCTGCATAATCCACACAGCCCAGCCATGCTGGTGGTGCGACTCCTCTTTGGCAGCAGGTGCTTAAGAGAAATGCAGTAAAAACAAGGCTAAATGTCAAAGTATTAACCAAAGTATAAAGTATTGCTTTATAAATTGCTTTTCCTTTTCCAAGCATGAGGGAGGCTATAAAGCTTCACGGGCAAGAGTGTGAGCTTTGGACTCAGGCCGCCTACACTCAGAAGGCCCACTGATTAGCTCCATGGCAAATTACATAACCACACAGAGCATGAGTTATCTCTATGGACTGTAGTCTGATTAATGAGAAAAAAAGTGAGAAAAAAGAGCAGGCTCTGACATTCAGATGCTGGCCTGGCACTCACAGTGAGGACATGTTACTCCCCTATTAGACATAAACAATCTCACAGAATAACAACTTCAGACAAGGCTACTCCGAGACCAGGATGAAATGAGATAAAATAAAGCCACTTCTTAACTTTGTCTAAGCGCAGACAAAAACAAAGTCAATGCTCCACTCTCAAAATTCCAAGCCCTCTCTCTCTCAGCCAAAATGATTAACTGCTACTTCTTTATGGATTACAGGTTTATCCGTGTTCTAGTCTCCCCTCCCCATGGGTAAGATTCCTTGAGATAACTAATCACAAAATTAACCCTGCTTTCTGCTAACATCTAATCTAGAGTGAACTCCAGCTTTTTAAGATCCTTCCCCAAATCACCCAATTGAAGTGCAAATCAGACAGAGGCCTCAGCCAGCACTGCCCCAGCAATGGCCTTGGCTGGCCAGGGCTTTCAGATGGAGAAATGATCCTCCAAGGCAGACATCCATGTGCCACAAGCCCTCAGATGAGTCAATTCAGGCCCAGGAAGACTCTGGAATCACAATGTATGCTGGGCGTTGGGCCCTTCTGGGCAGATGACAATTCGGTCTGGCTGGGGGTAGGAACAGGACACTCACAGTTTCTTTAAAGCTCCACTGGAGATGCTGACCTGCAGCTGGAGCTAAGAACCACCAGTCAGACAAATGTAGAATTCTAAAACTCTCCTTTTTCTTCTCCTTAGACTACTACAACAGCTTCTTCATGATGTCCAAACCCCAATTTGGCCTCTCTCTGATCCTTCATCTATGCTGCTGTCACATGGGCCTTCCGGTGATCTTATCTGAAGCATTAAAAGCAAGAACACAGTGAGTCGTTTTAGAGCAGATTTCAATGGTTCCCCTGAAGGCTTGCTGGACTCCATCAGTTATGCTGTCTGCTTCATCCAGGAAGATGATCTTATGTTGACCTTTGGGAAGGATGACTTTTTGTCAAGCAAACATTTTGATTTTATTCCTCGCAACGTCAATGCCCTTGCCATTTGAAGCACTGAGTTCCAGCATGGCATCCTTCAGTGCTGGGCCCAGGATGCTTATAACTTTGTCAGTTCCCAGGGGGCCAGCAAAGATGATGTGAGGCATATTCCCTTCTCTTGCAAAGATCTCCAGCCTGCCCACAGTGTATTCATTCCTGTCATTTTCATTCAGCTTTACTGGCCTATATTTTTCAACCCCACTCTCACATCCAGATGTGCCCATTCCTTATGACCTGGGCCCTCACCATGCAGCTTGCAGTTGTTGGCCCTGCCAGGGGCCTTGCTGAGGGCAGAGGCAGGGTCTTGGGCTGCAAGCTCGCCTGCACCACCGCTACTCACTTGCACCTCCATTCTCTAGCTCTTTTTATTTTTATTTTTTTGAGATAAGGTCTCGCTCTGTTGCCCAGGCTGGAGCACAGTGGCGTGATCTTGGATCACTGCAGCCTCTATCTCTCTGGCTCAGGGGATTCTCCCACTTCAGCTTCCCAAGAATTTGGGACCACAGGTGCCTGCTACCATGCCCGGCTAATTTTGTTTATTTTTTGTAGAGATGAGGTCTCACTATGTTGCCCAGGCTGGTCTCGAGCTCCTGGGCTCAAGCAATCCTCCCACCTCGGGCTCCCAAATTGCTGGGATTACAGGAGTAAGCCACTACGCCCGGCCCATGCCTACATTCTCTAGCCTCCTCTTCCCCCATGCATCTCTTATCAATGGGATACATTTTGAGAAATTTCATTGTTGTGTGAACATCATAGAGTGTACTAACACAAACCTAGATGGATCAGCCTACTACACTAGTATTTGTGTATCTAAACAAATCTAAACATAGAAAAGGTACAGTAGAAATGCGAGACCAGCTCGACTGGGGACAGCCTAACCCAGTGGCACTAGAGGAATTAAAGACACACACACAGAAATATAGAGGTGTAAAGTGGGAAATCAGGGGCCTCACAGCCTTCAGAGCTGAGAGCCCCAAACAGAGATTACCCATGTATTTATTAACAGCAAGCCAGTCATTAGCATTGTTTCTATAGATACTCGATTAACTAAAAGTATCCCTTATGGGAAAAGAAGGGATGGGCCGAAATGAAGGGGTGGGTCTGGCTAGTTATCTGCAGCAGGAACATGCCCTTAAGGCACAGATTGCTCATGCTATTGTTCATGGTTTAAGAACGCCTTTAAGCGGTTTTCCGACCTGGGTGGGCCAGGTGTTCCTTGTCCTCATTCCAGTAAACCCACAACCTTCCAGCGTGGGCGTTATGGCCCTCATGAACATGACACAGTGCTGCAGAGATTTTGTTTATGGCTAGTTTTGGGGCCAGTTTATGGCCAGATTTGGGGGGGCCTGTTCCCAACAAGAAATATGGTATAAATGATTAAAAAACTGTACACCTGGCCAGGCACAGTGGCTGACGCCTGTAATCTCAGCACTTTGGGAGGCCAAGGCAAGGCGGATCACGAGGTCAGGAGATAGAGACCATTCTGGCTAACACGGTGAAACCCCGTCTCTACTAAAAATACAAAAAAATTAGCTGGGCGTGGTGGTGGGTGCCTGTAGTCCCAGCCACTCGGGAGGCTGAGGCAGGAGAATGGCATGAACCCAGGAGGCAGAGCTTGCGGTTAGCCGCGATCACACCACTGCACTCCAGCCTGGGTGACAGAGTGATACTCTGTCTCAAAAAAAAAAAAAAAAAGATTGTACACCTGTATAGGACACTTACCATGAATGGAGCTTGCAGGACTGGAAGTTGCTCTGGGTGAGTCAGTGAGGAGGGTGAATGAATGTGAAGGCCTAGGACATTACTGTACACCACTGTAGACTTTATACACACTGTGCACTTAGGGTACACAACATTTTTTTAAAATGCTTTTCTTTCTTCAATAATAAACTAACATTAGCATACTGTAACTTTGTAACTTTATAAACTTTTTAACATTTTAAGCCTTTTTGACACCTTTGTGGTAGCTTAAAACACAAACATTGTATAGCTGTACAAAAATATTTTCTTTTTATCCTTACTATATAAACTTTTTTCTTTTTTTTTTTTTTAATAGAGATGGCGTTTTGCTATGTTGCCCAGGGTGGTCTCAAACTCCTTGTATGATTCTCCCCAGGGTCTGAAAGCTTAAGGGGATGAGTAACCCCTCCCTTCCCAGGCCCAGTCCCAAGGCGCAAGGTCACTTGTGTCAGCAGTGTGCGCCAGCAGGATAGCAGAAGCAGGAAGAGAGCCGGCTGGAAGACACGTACCCCCGAAGATCGAGAAAGAGGCCATCCGGGTACAACGTAGCAGTTACGTCAGACTAGGACACTTCCTGTTTACAGGAGACTGTAAAACCTTTGCCCCGTCCTCACTTGGTGCTGACGCCATTTTAAGCCTCGGCCTTCCTGCACTCAGGCGCACCCAGGCGCTCCTTAAAACAGCTTATTGCTCCACACCTCCTCGTGTTGTCTGTGGACGCGCTCTTGGGGTTGGAACCGATACAAGAACCTTACACTGCTGGGCTCAAGTGATCTGCCTGCCTCGGCCTCCCAACGTGTTGGGATTACAGGCGTGAGCCACCACGCCTGGCCTATTCTTTTACTTTTTAAAATTTTGTGAAAAACTAAGACACAAACACACACATTAGTTTAGGCCTACACGGGGTCAGGATCATCAATATCACTGTCTACCACTTCCACATGTTGTACCACTGGAAGATCTTCACGGGCAAAAACACACATGGAACTGTCACCTATGATGATGATGCTTCCTTCTGTAGTACCTCCTGAAGGCTCTGCCTGAAGCTGTTTACAGTTAACTTTTTTTTTTAAAAAAAAGTATAAGTAGAAGGAGAATACTCTAAAGTGATGATAAAAAGTATAGTATAGCAAGCTGGGCACGGTGGCTCACACCTATAATCCCAGCACTTTGGGAGGCCGAGGCAGGCGGACCACCTGAGTATTGACTTTCTCTTTATGTTGGATTTAGGAGGAGGACAGGACATCTTTTTCTTTGCCTGTATCCCAGGGATAGGAGCAAAAAATTTCTAAGAATAATGACTTGATCAAAGAGATTCGGGGACTCTAATCCCTTTCAGTTCAGATGTTTTAGAATAATTTTCATGCCTAAAGACGGTGATTTACTTTTATTTTTATTTTTAGAGATAGAGTCTCTCTCTGTTGCCCAGGCTGGAGTGCAGTGACGTGATCTCACCTCACTGCAACCTCCGCCTCCCAGGTTCAAGCGATTCTCGTGCTTCAGCTTCTGTAGTAGCTGGGATTACAGGCATGTGTCACCACGTGCAGCTAATTTTTGTATTTAAATTTAGTAGAGACGGGGTTTCGGCATGTTGGTCAGGCTGGTCTCAAACTCCTGGCCTCAAGTGATCCGCCTGTCTTGGCCTTCCAAAATGTTGGGATTACAGGCGTGAGCCACTGCACCCAGCCAAAATATGTGATTTTATGTCTTCTAGGAAAATAGTGTAAAATTCAGCACGTTAAGAAGCTTTTGGTTTTCTGAATTATGTTTGACATGTTATTGTTGACAAACAGAGGACTCTGATTAATAGCTCCAGGAAGCCATCACTATTGTTGCGAGTTTAAAGGTTAAAGACCCAAGATTTAGGAAGAGTTAACACTAAATAATCCTAGATTCTGACTGTTTTTCAGGAAATAAATCTTTATATGTATTTGTGTTCTCTATATATACACACATACAGTAGGCTAATATACATATACATACAGTAGGCTAAACTTAGGCTACACATTTTTTTAAAATGCTTGCTTTCTTCAATAATAAACTAACATTAGCATACTGTAACTTTGTAACATAAACTTTTTAACATTTTAAACCTTTTTGACACTTTTGTAGTAATATTTAGCACACACACACACACACACACAGTAGGGTAAACTTGCATCCAAGTTTGCCTAGAACAGTCCTGGTTCATGTCTCTTGTCCCAGTGTAATTATTAATAGTATATACTTTCACTCTCAAAAATGACCCAGTGTAGGCCAGGCGTGGTGGCTCACTCCTGTAATCCCAGCACTTTGGGAGGCCGAGGTGGGTGGATCACCTGAGGTCAGGAGTTTGAGACCAGCCTGGCCAACATGGTGAAACTCTGTCTCTACTAAAAATACAAACATTAGCCGGGCGTGGTGGCACACGCCTGTAGTTCTGGCTACTTGGGAGGCTGAAGCAGGAGAACTGCTTGAACTGGGAGGCAGAGGTTGCAGTGAGCTGAGATTGCACCACTGAACTCCCGCCTGGGTGACAGAGTGAGACTCCATCTCAAAAAAAAAAAAAAAAAAAACCCAAAATCAAAACAAATGACCGAGTTTATGACTGGGTGTGGTGGCTCACACCTGTAATTCTGGCACTTTGGGAGGCCCAGACAAGAGGATCGCTTGAGCTCAGGAGTTTGAGACCAGCCTGGGCAACATGGCAAGACCCTGTCTCTACTAGAAATAAAAAAAATTAGCTGAGCATGGTGGTGTGCGCCTGTAATCCCAGCTATTTGGGAGGCTGAGGTGGGAGGATCGCTTGAGCCCTGGAGACGCAGGTTTACAGGGCTGGGATTACAGGTGTGAGCCACCACGCCCGGCCACTTAGTATTATTATGTGTAATCATAATATTTTACTCTCTACTGAAATGACATGAGGCTGAGCTTCCCGTGCGCATGTGGTTTTTGTAAATGTCCTGAAATTATTCCACAAAGCACATATAGCGAAAACACAGT